>NC_000015.10:39034449-39337480 GCF_000001405.40 Homo sapiens
CTCTTATGCTACATTATCTTAGAATGCCACAGTGATAATAACCAGTACTTATATATGCTTGCTATGTGCCAGAGCCTATTCTAAATGCTTTACTTGAATCAATGCATTTAAGTCCATTTTCATTTTCTTAGTCTTTCATCTGACTATCCTCTGAGATAAACCTCCTCAGAAATATTTTGGGCAGTCCTGTGACACTCATTTGCCAGAGAGCAAAAGCTAGAATTGGAAATATAATGAGCCAAGTCCGTGGTTTGGTATGGCAGTCACTGGCGATTAAACAAAGAAAAAAATTAAAGAAATGCTATTTCTATCATAAAAAACAATCTTTTCTGAAGTTCCAAAGAGAAAAACAATTATGACACTCCCAAATACTTTGGTGGTTGGAAAGCAGAAAGTAGAAAATGGCTTTTAAAAAATGGGCAAAATACATCTTGCAGCCATATTACCAGTGGCTTTAAATGGAAAGAATGACAGGCCAACGTGGGTACAGGGCTAGCATTTCATCTCAAAACCTTTTTCAATTCTGTGGTCACAAAACAGTTCCAGAAAAAGCATCCTCAGAACCTGGTCTAATGCTAAATAAATACTGCACATTTTATGGTTTCAGATCTAGGGCCCAGGAAACACAAGATTAAGCAATGGCAGAAATCTTGTGGGCTGGAACCTCTGGATTCATTAACTGCACATGCCAGGCCATAGCTCCCAGTGCCCGCCATTAAAAGACATGATTAATGGTAGGTAGAGGCCTCTTAGAACTGCTCTCCTCTGTGGCCTCTCAAGACTCTCCTTCCCCATCATCGAGGCCTTTGTCTTTATTTTCTCCCTACGGCTCCTGGCCTGTATCTACTTACTTCACTTCCTTCATATCCTAAAGAGGTGGGATTGAGTCCTCTGCTTTCTTAGCAAATATCCAAATTTCACACAAGTATGGAAATCTTCATTGAAATTTCTACTAACCCTCCTATGCAAGTGACTTTCAAATCATCATTTCAACCTCAAATTCTCTCACAAGCTCTAGTCCTCTTGTCTAACAGAAATTGGACCTCTTCTCTTGGATTGCATTAAGTCATCCTAAATCATGAAAACAATGGGTACCCTTTTTTCTACCATGAAGCAGGAATTATACTAAGCGCTTTCTTTTTCTTCTCATTACTGCTTTTATTTCATTAATGGATGTCTTCACTACAAGGGCATACTTTACTTTTAAATGTGAGAAAGTGATATGAAAAAAAAAATGTTTATTTGAAAATCTGCTCTGTTCCACAAACTACTTTGACATTGAAAGATCTTTATACACTGTCACTAATCATAGAAACCTAACATGATTTTTGTTGTTGTTGTTGTAATATGTTGTTGTTTGTTTTTTTCCCTTATGTTTATTTTTATTTATTTATTTATTTTATTATTATTATTATACTTTAAGTTTTAGGGTACATGTGCACAATGTGCAGGTTAGTTACATATGTATACATGTGCCATGCTGTGTGCTGCACCCATTAACTCGTCATTTAGCATTAGGTATATCTCCTATGCTATCCCTCCCCCCTCCCCCTTCCACCCACCCCACAACAGTACCCAGAGTGTGATGTTCCCCTTCCTGTGTCCATGTGTTCTCATTGTTCAATTCCCATCTATGAGTGAGAACATGCGGTATTTGGTTTTTTGTCCTTGCAATAGTTTACTGAGAATGATGATTTCCAATTTCATCCGCGTCCCTACAAAGGACATGAACTCATCCTTTTTTATGACTGCATAGTATTCCATGGTGTATATGTGCCACATTTTCTTAATCCAGTCTATCATTGTTGGACATTTGGGTTGGTTCCAAGTCTTTGCTATTGTGAGTAGTGCCGCAGTAAACATACGTGTGCCTGTGTCTTTATAGCAGCATGATTTATAGTCCTTTGGGTATATACCCAGTAATGGGATTGCTGGGTCAAATGGTATTTCTAGTTCTAGATCCCTGAGGAATCGCCACACTGACTTCCACAATGGGTGAACTAGTTTACAGTCCCACCAACAGTGTAAAAGTGTTCCTATTTCTCCACATCCTCTCCAGCACCTGTTGTTTCCTGACTTTTTAATGATTGACATTCTAACTGGTGTGAGGTGGTATCTCATTGTGGTTTTGATTTGCATTTCTCTAATGGCCAGTGATGGTGAGCATTTTCTCATGTGTTTGTTGGCTGCATAAATGTCTTCTTTTGAGAAGTGTCTGTTCATGTCCTTCACACACTTTTTGATGGGGTTGTTTTTTTCTTGTAAATTTGTTTGAGTTCATTGTAGATTCTGGATATTAGCCCTTTGTCAGATGAGTAGGTTGCGAAAATTTTCTCCCATTTTGTAGGTTGCCTGTTCACTCTGATGGTAGTTTCTTTTGCTGTGCAGAAGCTCTTTAGTTTAATTAGATCCCATTTGTCAATTTTGGCTTTTGTTGCCATTGCTTTTGGTGTTTTAGACATGAAGTCCTTGCCCATGCCTATGTCCTGAATGGTAACGCCTAGGTTTTCTTCTAGGGTTTTTATGGTTTTAAGTCTAACATTTAAGTCTTTAATCCATCTTGAATTAATTTTCGTATAAGGTGTAAGGAAGGGATCTAGTTGCAGCTTTCTACATATGGCTAGCCAGTTTTCCCAGAACCATTTATTAAATAGGGAATCCTTTCCCCATTGCTTGTTTTTCTCAGGTTTGTCAAAGATCAGATAGTGGTAGATATGCGGCATTATTTCTGAGGGCTCTGTTCTGTTCCATTGATCTATATCTCTGTTTTGGTACCAGTACCATGCTGTTTTGGTTACTGTAGCCTTGTAGTATAGTTTGAAGTCAGGTAGCATGATGCCTCCAGCTTTGTTCTTTTGGCTTAGGATTGACTTGGCGATGCGGGCTCTTTTTTGGTTCCATATGAACTTTAAAGTAGTTTTTTCCAATTCTGTGAAGAAAGTCATTGGTAGCTTGATGGGGATGGCATTGAATCTATAAATTACCTTGGGCAGTATGGCCATTTTCATGATATTGATTCTTCCTACCCATGAGCATGGAATATTATTCCATTTGTTTGTATCCTCTTTTGTTTCATTGAGCAGTGGTTTGTAGTTCTCCTTGAAGAGGTCCTTCATGTCCCTTGTAAGTTGGATTCCTAAGTATTTTATTCTCTTTGAAGCAATTGTGAATGGGAGTTCACTCATGATTTGGCTCTCTGTTTGTCTGTTATTGGTGTATAAGAATGCTTGTGATTTTCGTACATTGATTTTGTATCCTGAGACTTTGCTGAAGTTGCTTATCAGCCTAACATGATTATTAACTCATTTGCCTGTTGTCAGTGCTATGAATTATCTGAGCCCTGGTGACAGTCCAGCTGTTGTTGTCTCTCTGAGACTGGGGTTTCTGGAAGTGGTAAAATGGAAAGAAGAAGTTTCTCTCCAGAAGTCTGGAAGCAAAGGAGGTAGCATGTTGGGAAACTAGACCTTTGTAGGGGTAGGAGTTATGGTACTATCAGGAATAGGAGATTTTTCATCGTCTTCTCTAGGAATCACCCATCAGGATGAGGTAGTCCTGGCTGGCAGTGTTTGTTACCTTGAGAGCAGCCAGTGTTAGCAGAACCACTGGCCTCTTCAGGGCTGTGTCTAGTAATCATGATATGAAATTCTGCCCTGTTTCAAAGGAGATGCGCTTAGCTTGGCCAGCTGTCTGCCTTCCTCAGGTGAATATGAAATGCATGGTCTTTGTTGCAGGTTCTTCTATAGAGGGAGGAAGCTGGTCTTATCTGTCAGAATCTGCTGTCTCTCACCTAAATAAAAGAACTCAGGAAAGCCCCACCCCTGCTCATTCAGTATGCCATGTCCCTTTCTTTTCTTTTCCACCCAAAGAGCCACTGTCAGCCCACATGGCTAGATTATCAACACTGTTTCCTAGGTAGTCTTCGTAACCTCAACCTCCTCCCCATTCTAAATCACTTTATATGCCAGAGTCAGATATCTCTCCTTTCTTCATTCCAGTTCACAACCTAAAATTTGTCAAAGACTTCTCATTCAGATAAAGAACAAATTCTTAATTTGGCATCATTTTTAATCTTCTCTGAACCACTCTCTTTAAAACCACTCTCACATCCTAAAATTTTTCAAAGCATTCTCATTCAGAAAAGGCACAAATTCTTAATCTGGCATTGTTTTTAATCTTCTCCAAAGCACTCTCTTTAAACAATTATTTTCCTACCTTTGTTTTAGCCACAGTGGTGAACTCATTGATTTCAGATAAACAATGTCCTCCCTGCTTCCCCTACTGCCTACTTCAGGTGCTAGTGAGAATGAAATAATGTGCAGGAAAACACCTAGCATGTTCTGCCATACTGAGCCCTGTGAAATGGGTAATTCACTTGAACTTCATACCCCATGCAATGAGGATGAGGCTCAGTTATTCAACAAGCTGTTAGAGTGGAGCCTGGTAGCATGCACCTGTAGTCCCAGCTGCTCAGGAGACTGAAGCAGATTGCTTGAGACCAGGAGTTTGAAGCAGCTTGGGTGATATAGCAAGACCCTATCTCAAAAAACAAAAATAAAAAACAAAAATTGCGTAAGCCTTCAGGATAGCCATTTTCTTTGCATAACCATCTTGTGTCTCCCCACCTCTGCACTGGGGAGAGATGAGAGCTGATTAAACTGCTCGCCAAGCTTCTTCTTTGCCATTTTAGCTGGTCCATTCTATTGTCAAATGTAGATGATCTAGAGCATCAAATTCTCAGAGCTGCACCCATCACATGTAAGGGTACAATTGTATCCTTCAGACTTGAATTTTCCCACCAGTACTCAGAGATGGTGAAGAGTTTGGTTGCTTTTATTTAGTATTAAGAATTCTCATTTGCACTTGTGTTTTGAAATGGTTTGCAGGACCTTTTGGGGCAGACCCAGTGGCTCATGGGCATCCTAATCATGGGCTGTTTCTAGTCTCTGTTCCTGTATCCTTAGGATACAGGATACAGAGCCAGCCCCATCCTAAATCCTGGCTGTTCAACACTGGCCTCTTCGACACTGGCCTCTTCACTATCTTCATTAAATGGATTTTGATCCAAATATGCTGCCAGAGCAGTTATTTTCCTTAATTGCAAAGTAGATACAGGGGCCAAATGAGGAGAACAGATCACTATAAAGCTTGCTCATTACATTGAGCTTCTCCCTCCTGTGGTTCATGATGAATTCCAAGGCCCAACTAGTTGATAGAGTTTCAAGAAAAATCATGCACTGGTATTTTTATTCATGGAAAATAGACACCCCAGGCTGGTCTGGAATTATAAAGTCAGTTGTCTGAAGCTATGCTAGATTTGAGTAAAGGGACCAGTGGTCTGCCACCCCAGGCCCAATTTGCTTTCACCTCTAGTCTTGTAGGAATGGCCTTCAGTATCTCTCAAGAGCCCGGTTTAGATAGAATTGTAAGCAAGGCTGTGGTTTCATAGGAAATTAGAATTGGAAAAAATTATAAAATTTACCTTACCACGTATGGTATTTTTCAGCTGTATATTCCAATTGTTATAATTAATATTACACAGGAGGGAAATGGAGGCTCAGGCTGCCAATTCTGAGTACTTGAGATGTTTTAGGAACTGTGATCAAACATTTGCATTCATTCTCTCCTTAAAATCTAATTATCCTATGAGAATGAGAGATGGGGAAACTAAGAGATTAGGTAAAATTTCCCAGGGATTACAGCTCTTGTATGTGATGGCACCCAGATTTGCATCTGTTCTCTTTTCTAGCCACTCCTTGAAAGTGGTGGCACTAATGGGTTGCAGGGCTGGGCCTCTCACACTAGTCTTCTCCTTCCACGTCCAGGGTTTGCTCCACTGAAGAGGTCAACCACATCTGTTATTCCAAACTTCAAAACATACCCAAAGAGTGACACATATGTAAATGCATGAGGCACCTTCTACGCCTCTTCTGACACCTTTCTGGTCTCTTCATCTAAAAATATTTAGTGGGTTCAACTGCCAAATCCTCATTACACAGTGGCAGGCTGTAGGCTGTTTATTCTATCACAAATTCATGCCTAATTTACTAAGTGCTTATATATCGCGGAGGTTACTCAGGAGCATACTAGGAAAGAGAGCCTCTTGCTTGATGTTGCTATTTTCATATAATGAGCTTTTCCCCTTAGAACAAACCCACTTGGATCAGGCAGCAGAAAGTAAAGGAAGTAAAAGCCCCCCAGGGTAGAAAGCCCTACCAGGCTCTGGGGCAAGACTAAAAGGGAGCCAAGAGTTGTTTTCAGCTGCTTTAGGTATTTCTTTTATCAGATAACAACCTACTTCTGACACTCTTCAAGTCAGAAGTGCTGCTAATTCCTCTCCAAATCAATACAAAACTATAAATAACTGATAACAGCTTTATGTGTATTTCTCCTAAATATCATGGACTCCATCCAGAGTCAGAAAATTTGGAGTTCAAAATCCTTAGTCCACCATTTACTGAGTATTTTCAAGACTCAATATCTTCATTCTAGAAGGCGGGATAGTATCTCCCTAAAGAGTGGTGAGAATTAAAGGAGTAGCAAGTACAAATTCTAACAGGCTTAGAACAGGTGCTGGCACAAAGTAAACACTCACATGTTAGTTCCCTCCACCCCCTACTTTTCTTCCTGTCTCAGAGATATTTACATAGTACAGACAGTCCCTAACTTTTGATGGCTCGACTTGGACTTTTCAGGTTAATCATAGTGCAAAAGCCATACCCATTCACTAGCCTTCTCAACTTAACAATGGGGTTACCTCTGGATAGATTTATAAATTGAAAATATCGTAATGGTTTTATCAGGACATAACCCCACTGTAAGTCAAGGAGCACCTGTAGTCATAATCTTAAGCAACAGAAGTAAAGCTCTGATGGTTGGTTTCAGTAGTCATTTATGTGGGGAGCCGCAATACTCCTGCAATCCTACAGCACAGATGTTTACTTCCTCTATGCACAGGTAAGACCAGCCAGACTGTCACTCTTCGCGCTGCACCAGGCATTCTGTACCTTATTCCTCTTCCTCATGGGTAGGTTGCCCTATGCTCACCTGAGAATGAGATAGTGAGAAGAGCCAGGCCAACCTCTCTCTTTAGATCCATGTAGTGGCAAAAAGATCACATAGGACCCCAATGCTTCAGATAACCAACAGAAGATCATCTTTAGGTTCCCTGCCCAGTATGCTTGCCTCTCTGGGTGATGACATATAACATGTGCAGGCCTCTTTTAACCAGGGAAAGATCATGAGCAGAAACAGAAGCAAGCAGTCAGTAAGTACTCACAGCACATCACAAGGCACATTTAACATGTTTCTGCTTTTGATTTTTAAGAACTGGAGAAAAGAAAAGTTTACTTCTTTCATTCTGTTCCATTACAATAACTACTTTGTTGACATACTCTTAGAAGTTTCATTTGAAGTCCAGGGTACTTCCTGAATGATGAGAATCCAGATATATTGTGCTTGGTTTTCTAAAATTCACCCAGAATAGGATTAGTGGGTCACAAATTCCTAGATGTGATGCTGTGGTAGGAAACAAAAAACAAAAAACAAAAAAAAAAACAACTTGGGGAGGGAAGCAAGTGCCACCATCATAGCTAAAGTTTTCTCATGCTTTGAATATCACAAACTTTCAATAAACTTGAGCCCATAGTGGAGTTCAAAGTAAATTCAAGTCAAGGTGCGGAATCAACCAACAGAAAGAATAGAAGCAGCTTCAATAAAGTACAGTGCTGAGTTAGCAGGATTTGGAAATTTCTTGTCAGTTATAACTTTTCAACAAAAACATCCCATCCCAGCTGTTTATTTACAAGTATTTTTGAGGTGACACAGATGAAAGGGTCAGAGGGAAAAGGCTGGAGGGGTGAGTAATCTCGAATTCCTTAAATAATTTATTCTTCCCATAAGAAAGAGTTGACTAGGAGAAATCGCGTTCTCTCACAACTGCAGGCAAAATTGGATCTCATTCATTATAGGTAGACCCAATCAAGGAGAAAAAATGCAACACAGAAACAGTTTCAAAAGGTACATTACTGTACCTCAAAAGGTGCAGACATAAGTCTGGCCTTGTGGCCTGACCTAGCCGATCTGGCCATACACAACTCTTTTGTTCTTTATAGTAGCTGCCAAAGAAATGTGAGTTTAGCAAGGTTACCTCTTAAAAGAAAAGTGAGACTCATGCCAAACTCTGCTACTGTATAGATATCTATTAGCTAGATGTTTATTATTAACAAAGAGAAGGGTTCATAAACCTGGTCTGGAAGCTTGCCAACCTTAAAAAAAAACAGGGGAAACCTCATCCCTTCCCTCAAAGTGGCTACTCTAACTCGTTCCATGATTCCTATGTCTGAGGTCAGCAAGGAGAGGACCATGCAGCTTCACAAGCCTACAGTTTCCCTTTGACTCCTTGAAAGTGAATGAAAGCATCCAGCTGAAAGACAGAGAACTGACTTATCCTGTTACCAGGAGGAAGAATGCAGGAGAGACCAACAGAATGCCTGCTCTGGGAAAAGATACACACAGGGAAATGGTGTTTTAGCAGGGACATGCAAGAAAAGAGGAAAAAAGGCAAAGCAAGGAAGTACTTTACATGGCAACTAGCCTACTAAACATTTCCTTTTATCGGCTGGGTGCGGTGGCTAACACCTATAGTCCCAGCACTTTGGGAGGCTGAGGTAGGCATATCACCTGAGGTCAAGAGTTCGAGACCAGCCTGACCAACATGGAGAAACCCCGTCTCTACTAAAAATACAAAAATTAGTCGGGCATGGTGGTGCATGCCTGTAATCCCAGCTACTCAGGAGGCTGAGGCAGAATAATTGCTTGAACCCAGGAGGCGGAGGTTGTGGTGGGCTGAGATGGGGCCATTGCACTACAGCCTGGGCAACAAGAGTGAAACTCTGTCTCAAGAAAACAGCAAACAAACAAAAATTTCCTTTTATCATATTTTTTTCATTGTTCTCTTTTTTTATGTTTTATATCCTGGTTCCATCAGTTGGAGCAGCTTTTAAGTCCAGCCATGTACTAGTTACCTGGGAAACTGTCAAAAATATCAGTGCCCACACCCACCTTCAGAGATTCTGAGTTATTCGGTGTGGGTAAGGGTAGGATCTGGGCATAAGTCTCTTTTAGAAACTCTCCAGGTGATGCTAATGTGGAGCCACGATAGAGAAGCATAGAGCTAGGTGATGGCTCCATTAGCATGAGGAAATTTCTGTTTCATGGGAAGATACCAGAATGCCTGTACTTCTGAAGCCTTTCTAGAGTTTCTTTCTGATGCTGTTTTCTCAGCTATTTATAAATATTCCCAAATATGCAACACATGCACTCTTGTATGTTTACACATTGCTTTCCAGGACCCTAGAGAAGAGAGAGGGGCCCTAGCCAACTTTACAATGATGTCTGCCATCAAGGCTTCCTTTTCCACTTCCCTGTTTGTACAATATATGTCTATTGGCCCTTCTAACAGGACTGCATTTCTGAGGTGCATTAAAGAAAGGCATCAATGACTAGTCTGGCATATTATTCTGAAAAAAGATTTTCTAGTTCTAGAGGAGAACGCATTATGTGCTTCCTCTACTTAAGTAGAATTTTATGCTGAGATCTATAAGATCACAGACAGGTGATAAAAAATATAAGCCAGTATATGTGCCCCCCTCTTAGGCTTCTGGAGTCTCTTGGGAATGAACCAGTTGATGGTATTTCCTCTGAAAGCTGCTTCACCTAAAGCAGGGCAGCATCTTCTCTAGGAAGACCCAGAAGGTTGCAGCACAAGTAAGGTGATATCCTGGCCTCTATGGCTGTCCTGCTGAGATGTCCTCCAGACCTTCCATACCATGGGGTCAGCTTGTGTAACTATGATATATAGGGTCTGGACAGTCTAATCTCATAGAGGCTGAACCGGATTTAGGGAGTAAACTACCCAAGCTTATCGATGGTAGCTATATATTTGTGACTAGAATGCCCCAAACAAAAATACCTCCCTAGTCCTTTTTTTACATATGCTTAAAAGCCAACTACACAATTGCTTTTAAAATATAGTGTTAATCCTTAATTCAAATCACTGTAATATAGTTATATTGCATCAGGCCCCTTATAGCTCTAATCTATGAGCTTTGTCCATTCTAGGTGACAATCTAGTGACTATAGAAAGTCATTATACATTGATTTTTGGAAGAGAGTAAGCAAAAAGAAAAAGCTGTGGATTCATAATTAAATAATTCAGAACAAGAGAAATAAGTAGAATCTTGTTGACTTAGTGGAAAATGCCCTTTACATTTTTTTTTGGAACTAAGTCTTTGAAATCAGTGTTTATTTTAAACTTACAGCATACATCAATTCAGACCAGCTATTTGCAAGTGCTCAGTAGCTACAGGTGTCTACTGACTACAGGATTTGATAGCACAGATTCTAGACAGATGCTAAAAGGTCATTTGATAAAATTTAACATATATTTCTGATTTAAAAGGAAAAAATTAAAGGAAATATGACAAAAAGATACATATCTGTCTGAAAAAAGAGACCTATAAAATTTAGTTACAAATGTACAAAAATCAATAGCTTTACTATTTTCCAAAGCTTATAAATTACAATGGAAAACAGCTATTCAAATTAGCAATCAAAATTTTAAACTATCCATCATAACCTTAAATGCATAATACTCATATAAAAGTGTTTCCAGGATTTATAAAAGAAAATTTGAATAAATTAAAGGACATACTGTGTTTCTGACTGGAAAGCCTTGTTAACAAAAATATTATAAAATAATCTCCAATGTTAACAAGATTCAAACCAAAACTTCTAGCATTTTATTTGAATTTCAGTAATTGATTACTAAATTCAGCTAGAATATACACAGAAGAATAATCTGTAAAATCTGGAATAAAGGAGACTAATGAAGAGAACTTTCTACCACCAAATATTAACAAATATTATAAAGTTACACAATAGATTACTGTGAAGAGAAATAAAAATAAGTTGATACTTACAGCCAACTGGTCTTCAACGAAGCAAAGATAAACAAAATAGGGAAAGGACACCCTTTCAACAAATGGTGCTGGGATAATTGGCTAGCCACATGCAGGAGAATGAAACCGGATCCTCATCTCTCGCTTATACAAAAATCAACTCAAGATGGATTAAGGACTTCAATCTAAGACCCAAAACTATAAAAATTATAGAAGATAACATTAGAAAAACCCTTCTAATTGTTGGCTTAGGCAAGGATTTCATAACCGAAAACTCAAAAGCAAATGCAATAAAAACAAAGATAAATAGCTGGGACCTAATTAAACTAAAGAGCTTTTGCATGGCAAAAGGAACAGTCAGCAGAGTAAACAGACAACCTACAAAGTGAGAGAAAATCTTCACAATCTATACATCTGACAGAGGACTAATATCCAGAATCTATAATGAATTCAAACAAAGCAGTAAAAAAGAAAAAAAAAATCCCATCAAAAAGTGGGCTAAGGACATGAATAGACAATTCTCAAAAGAAGATATACAAATGGCCAACAAACATATGAAAAAAATGCTAAACATCACTAATTATCAGGGAAATGCAAATCAAAACCACAGTGCAATACCAACTTACTCCTGCAAGAATGGCCTTAATAAAAAAAATCAAAAACAGTAGATGTTGGCATGGATGTGGCAGTGAATACTTCTACACTGCTGGTGGGAATGTAAACTAGTACAGCTGCTATGGAAAACAGTGTGGAGATTCCTTAAAGAACTAAAAGTAGAACTACTGTTTGATCTATCAATCCTACTACTGTGTATCTACCCAAAGGAAAAGAAGTCATTATTCAAAAAAGATACTTGCACACACATGTTTATAGCAGCACAAGTCACAATTGCAAAAATCGTGGAACCAACCCAAATGCCCATCAATCAATGAGTGGATAAAGAAACTGTGGTATGTACATATATATATATATATATATATATATATATATACACAATGGAATAGTACACAGTCATAAAAAGGAATGAATTAACAGCATTTGCAATGATCTGGATGAGACTGGAGACTATTATTCTAAGTGAAGTAACTCAGGAATGGAAATCCAAACATTGTACGTTCTCACTGATATGTGGGAGCTAAGCTATGAGGATGCAAAGGCATAAGAATGATACAATGGACTTTGGGGACTTGGGGAGAAGAGTCGGGGGGTGCGGATGAGGGATAAAAGGCAACAAATATGGTGCAGCATATACTGCTTGGGTGATGGGTGCACCAGGATCTTACAAATCTCCACTTAAGAACTTACTCATGTAATCAAATACCACCTGTACCCCAATAACCTATGGAAAAATAAAATAAAATAATACAAAATAAAAATAACTTGAAAGGACTTGAAGCATCAAAAGATATAATTAAATATAAAGAAAAAATGCTATAATGCATATGCCATTTTAAAGCGAGGTGGGTGAATTCGGAGTTAAAAAAATCACATGAGTTCAGAAAATCAAAATTACTTTTCTGTTACACTATAACTGGTTAAACAATTTCTATTTGGATTTTATATTTAAAAGTAAAATCTGGATATTTAAGCGCACCAAAAAGATTTATCAATTATTTATATAATCTAGGAGTCAGCATCTTTATAAACTTGAAGCCAAAGACAGAAAATGTAAAGAAATGACTGACAGATTTGATTACATAAAATGTAGATATGATGACATAAAAATCTATGCAATAACACCATAAGCAGAATTCAATCTCAAACTTAAAACATAATTTCAGGTGGGACACGGTGGCTCATGCCTGTCATCTCTGCACTTTAGGAGGCCAAGGTGGAAGGATCGCTTGAGGCCAGGAGTTCAAGATCAGCTTGGGCAGCATGGCAAAACTCCATCTCCACAAAAAAATACAAAAATTAGCTGAGCATGGTGGCACATGCTTGTAGTCCCAGCTACTCGGGAGGCTGAGACATGAGAATCGCTTGAACCCGGAAAACAGAGGTTGCAATGAGCAGAGATTGCACCACTGCACTCCAGCCTGCGTAACAGAGTAAGACTCTGTCTCAACAATAAAAACAAAACAAAACAAAGCAAAACAAACAAAAAAGCCCATAATTTCAATAGTTTATCAAAGAGATAATAGCCCCTGTTTTTGAAAAACTTTAAAAATAAATAATAAAACACAAACATGACAATAGGAAATCAGCAAAATTTGTAAAAGAGAAAAAGGATGCAGGAGGAAATTTATGGAATAAGTTTGAGAGCTAAGAAATCTACAAAAGCTATCGCCAATTAATAGTAATATTAATAGTAATAGGAATAAGTTACATAGAAAAAAGTACAAAAAACATGTAAGGACACATCAAAGCAAAAATGACACCAATGGGTAGTAAGATTATGTATAATTTTTATGTTTTATTGTCACATATTTTTTCCTGTAAAAAACAAATTCTCTTATAATAAAATGCTATACTTCTTTTTAGATTAAATAATTTTATCACATTCTGAAGAGCTGTCCTATTTTTCTGATTCTTTTTAATTTTTGAAATAGAGATGATTTCATTAGCATTTTTAATATTTTAGAATGGTTCTCTTTTATTTCTATATTTTAAACTAGACTACATAACAACTTGATTATAATATTAATTTAAAAAGAAAGCAAGAAGCTATTCCTTTGCCATATTGTCTTCAAACAGATTTATTAGTGCAATAGTTGTCTTCTACGAGTTAATGGGTGCAGCACACCAGCATGGCACATGTATACATATGTAACTAACCTGCACATTGTGCACATGTACCCTAAAACTTAAAGTATAATAATAATAAAAATCGTTGTCTTCTTCCTATAGTTATTACTCTCAGTTGGAACAATAATAGAAAAATAGAGAGATGCAGAGTCCAACTGATTTAAAAGTGACATTTAGAAATATTACAGGTTCTAAAGAACAGAAAAAAAGATTTTCATAATGCTGAAGTTCCTAAGTCATTGCTTAATGGAAATGATTTTCTAAAGCTTTTGGCTTTGGCTGCATGATGGGCAAAATGACCAAAGCAAATGACTATCAAGATAGTCTGCAACATAACTTTCCATCTATCTTTGAGTTTACCCACAGATGCTGTAACAGTGTTAAGCAATATGACGGCTTTACACCTCAGACACCTACTTTGTCCTGTGGGCTTTCTCAAGCATTGTCCACATTTGCTTACCTTAAGGTGATAGAGGCACTAGAAGTGTTGGGTATTTACTGTTCCCATAGGCAGTCCCAAGTCAATAAGGGATACAATTTGTGGATGAATATATCATTTTTTTCAGTCCCTTGATTGGACAATTTAGGACACATTCTACATACCTCTTCAAAGAGACCCCAAGTGGGATGAGACTCATTTATTGCAGTTTATTAATACTCCTACATGGTTTTCACATTTCTGTTTCTCAATATCCACATTTCCTTAGTTGTGTTTCCTGAAATGATATTTTAAAGTATACTACCTGTAACCAAGTTCTTGTCTTGGGTCTGGCTTGATGGAAATTCAAGTTAAGAATAGGCATCTACTTTGACTAATGCACAGATAACACCACAAAGAGTTAAGGAAAGTGAAGAAAAGATGTTCTAAATAAAGGAACAAGATAAATCTTCAGAACTGACCTTAACAAAATGGAATTATATGATTTACCTGACAGTTAATTCAAACTAGCTGTTATAAAGATACTTACAGCAGTAAACAGAACAATGCATGAACAAACTGAGAATTTCAATAAAGATAGAGAATATTTTTCAAAAAAAATATTGAAGAGAAATTAGGGAGCTAAAAAACACAATAATTGGACTGAAAAAAATTTACTAGAGGGATTCAACAGAATACTAGATCAAGCAGAATAAAAGATCAGCAAATGTGAAGGCCAGTCATTGAAAGTAATTTAGTCAGAGAATCAAAAAGAATGAAAAAAGTGAAAAAAGCTTAGGGGATTGGTGGGACACCATCAAGCAGAATAATATATACATTATGGAAGTTTTAGAAGGAGAAGAGAGTGAGAAAGAAATAGTTTATTCACAGAAATAATAGCTAAAAAGTCCCCACATCTGGATAAAAAAGCAGATATCTATCCAAGAAGCTGAAATAGCACACCAAAATTTATACTGAGAGACATTAAACAAATTGTCAAAAGTCAAAGGCAAAGAGAGAATTTTAAAAGCAGCAAGAGAAAGCAATTAATCATGTATAAGGGAACCTGAAGCCTAACAAGACAGAAAGGAATGAGACAAATGTTGAAAGAAAGAAACAAACAAACAAAAAAACCCCTGACAACCAAGAATGTTATACCCAGCAAGGCTAGCCTTCAGAAATGAAGGAGAGATAAACTTTACTAGACAAACAAAAACTGAGAAAGTTTATCACCATTAGACATGGCTTACAATAAATACTAAAGGGAATTCTTCAAGTTGAAACAAAAGGAAGCTAAACAGTAACATAATAGCATAAAAATGAAACATGTTGGTAAATATGTAAGCAAATCCAGAATACTGCATTGCTATAATGGTGGTAGGTATTATTTTTAATTCAAATGTAAAATTTAAAAGACAAAAGTATTAAAAACAACTTTAAAAATATGTTTAAAGATATACAATTTGAACCATGTAAATCATGACAACAATTTTTTGTCGTAAACATAAATTATGTAAACAATTTATGTTTACATAATTTTACGTTATGTAAAATCAGGAGGGGAGAGTTCATGTTGAGTTTTTGTATGTGATTGAGCTTAAGTTGTTACCAACTTAAAATAGATTGTTATAAGATATCTTATGTAAGCCCCGAGGTAACCATAAAAACCCTATTGAATTTATGTAAAAGAAAAGCTGATAGGAATCAAAGCATATCAATACACACAAAAAACTTTCAAAACCCAAAGGAAGACAGCACAAGAGGAAAAAGGCAAAGGAATTACAGGACTACCATGAAACAACTAAGAAATGGCAATAGTAAATCCTTCTCTATCAATAATTACTTTAAATATAAATTGATTAAATTTCTCAATAAAATATATGAAGGAACTACATGAATTTTTTTAATGACCTAACTATATGCTGCCTACAAGAAACTCACGAAACTCACTTTAGATTTAAGGACACACATAAGCTGAAAATAAAGGAATGAAAAAAGCTATTTCATGCAGATAGCAACCAAATGAGAGCACGGATGACTATACTTATCAGATAAAATACTCCATAAGTAAAAACCATCACAAGAGAGAAATAATGATACCATATAATAACAAAAGGGTCAATTTTCTAGGAAGATTTAACAATTATAAATCCATACGCACCCAACATCAGAGCACTTAAATATATAAAACAAACATTGACAAATCTGAAGGGAGAAATAGACGGCAATACAGTAATGGTAATAATAATAACACTTTTAATACTGAATAGAACATCCAAACAGCATATTAGTAAGTTAACAGAAGGCTTGAACAACACTACAGATCAAATGGCTCTAACATATGTGTACAAAACATTCGACCCAACAATAGCAGAATACACATTTTTCTCAAGTGCCCATGGATTTTACCTCAGAATACATCACGTGTTAGATATAAAACAAGTCCCAGCACATTTAAGTAGACTGCAATCATATAAAATATTTCTTCTGATTGTAATAGAATGAAACTAGAAATCAATAGCAAAAGGAAAACTGGAAACTTCACAAAAAATGAAAATTAAACATACACCCTTGAACAAGCATTGAGTCAAGAAGAAATAAAAGAGGAAATTAGAAAATATCTTAAGACAAATGAAAATACAGCATAAAATTTATGATATCCATCAGAAACAGCACTAAGATGGTTCACAGTGATAAATCACACATTAAAAGGAAGAGGGATCTCAAATAAGCAACCAAACTTTATACCTCTAGGAACCAGAAAATGAAGAACAAATAAGCTCAAAGTTAGCAGAAGGAAGGCAATAAAGATTAGAGCAGAAATAAATGGAATAGAAAACAGAAAAATATCAACAAAATTAAGAGTTGGTTTTTTGAAAAGATAAACAATTTACAAGGCCTTAGTTAAATTAAGGGAAAAAAAGAAGGCTCAGAATTATAGATGAATGAGATATTACAAGTGATGCCACAGAAATAAAAAGGATTATATGAAATTTCTATGAACAATTACATACTAAAAACTAGATAACCTAAAAGAAATGGAAAAAGTCCTGGAAACATACAAACTGCCAAAACTAAATAATAAATAATTAGAAAGCCTGAACAGGCCTATAACTAGTATGGAGATTGAATGAGGAATTCAATACCTCTCAACAAAGAAAAGCCCAGTACCAGATCGCCTCACAAGTAAATTCTACCAAGCATTTCAAGAATTAATGCCAATCCTTCTAAAACACTTCCAAAAAACTGAAAATGAGAAGGGAATACTTCCAAACTCATTATATGAGGCCAGCATTATCCTTACACCAAAGCCAGACAAAGACTACAAGAAAAGAAAACTACCTGCTAATATCCCTGATTAATATAGATGCAAAAATCCTCAACAAAATACTAACAAAATGAATGCAACTGCACCTGAAAAGGATCATATGGTCACCAATAGTATTTTGAAAACATCTCTTGATGATTCTGTGTAGCCAGAGTTGAGCAACATTGCTCCAAGATGCCCTACTGCTTGAAGGAGTTGGGATTTAAATTGCATAGTCACTGCACAGTGCTTTCTTTTGACCACTTTTTTTCTCTTGTCTCGCAGTGACATCGCTTTTAGACAGATACCCTTTTTGAAGATCTGTGTGCTTTCTGAATGAGATGCCAGTGGCGGTTTTGTGCTTTACTAGCACAAAGGTCTTTAAAAATCATGGAAAATTATAGGTATCCAATAAAATATTTTCTACTAATCACTACCTTATTTCTAGGGTCAACAAATTCAACTTTCCAAGATGGCTTTTTCAGCAGAATACATTCTTCAGACTACCCTAATAATATTATTAGTAAAGAATTCAATTAAAGCAATGCTTTTTCAAGTCCCCTGTTACTAGTTATGCATTCATATCAGACAAATCAATTCTGGCAATTAAAGGCAAGGCAGATGGTGCAGACAGATGGACTCTAGGCCATGCCAAAGGAGAGAGGAATAAGTGAAAGGGAAATTGAATAGATGCTATATTCACCTCTCTCATTACTTAGGAAACTTTGAACTTTCCAGAAGAGCCAGAAGATTTTTCCCAAAGTGCCATTCAGTACATATTTATGCTATTAGAGAAATACTAGCATCATTACATTTTGGACAATGCCCCAACTTTTATGTTTACATTAACATTGGGTTGAAAAAATTCAAGTAATGCCAGGTTGTATTCCTTTGATATTTGGCTGACTCTGAGTAAACCTGTTCTCATGATCAAATGTCTTGGTTCTTCTATTTTCTGTCTAGTTTGGTATATCAATTTTCCTAAACATGTGGACTTTTTAGAAAAGATCTCTTAAAAAGAAACACCTTAGGATAAGATGTGACCACTGTTGTGCCCAAATATTAGTTGGAGGGAGGGGAGAAGTTAGCTGATTTTTTGTTGTTGCAATTTTCAAGTAAATTCTTGAGGGGAGGGGACAGTGTGGAGAGTGTCTTGAGTAGTTTTGGTATCTGTTTTCTGTTGTTTAATATTTATCAGCACAATACAAATTCTTAAAGGGACAATCTCTGGATCTTTTCCAGCTACCTTTTCAAGCCAAGGTCTGTTGTAAAGGGGACAAATGAATAAGAGGAGTCAAGGGATATGTTGTCATACACCCATAGGAAAGGTCAAAGGGCTTGCATCACCCAGGTTTCAGTATGCCATTCATTACAAGGTCTGGGGAAAGGCAACTAATGAATGTTGCCCAAAACTAAACAAAAAAGCAAGAAGACTCCCAAATCGGTGAGAAATCTCCAACCCCCAATCAAATTAGAGGTTTGTTTTGATGAGTTCTTTATGGTGAAATGATCAATGAAACCTTATTTGAATTGGAGTTCTGAAAAGAATTTACCCTAGAGGCTGAATGGGAAGACAAACCCATTTCTAATAAAAATTTTAAAATATGGAGAATAAAGCAAATTAAAATCATTCTGAGAAAAAAAGAATTGATAGAGAAAGCTAAATTCACAGTCAAGAGAACCAGGTCAATACTCTAGAGACTTGAGCTGTTATGTCTTAGCCCTGCTATTTACTAAGTGCCTGACCATGAGCAAGTTATTCAGCCTCTCTGGTCCTAAATGTTCTTACTGGGAGGCAAGGGTGTGAACCCAGTGTTGATATAACTGGGTTGGGGAGCTAGGCAAGTATCCTTCTTTCTCTCCCAAGAGAAAAGTGTAATATCCCTGGAAGCAAGTGGACTTCCTCATATTAACAATGCAGCCTGTTAGTACTGCCAGCTCCCTCATGTTTAAGAGGAGGAGTTGAACCATACAATTTCTAAGTTTCCACTAAGATCTATCACTGACTTTATGATCCTGGGCAAATTATTTAATTTATTTGAGCCTCAATATCCTCAGCTATAAAATGAGAGTAATAATCACCGATTTCATAGAGTTGTTGGAAGGATGAGTTTGTATTTGTAAAATGTTTGGAAGAAGATATGGCATACCATAACCAGTACGATGCTCTTTTGTATAACTATGAGTATTGTTACTTTTATCATTAACAATATATGTTGATGATATTTCCGATTTATATTGACTTCAGTTCTACATTATACTTTCAAGTATACGCTTCAAAACTATGTCCAAAAACTTATTATTTTCATTTGTTTTAAAGAAAATTCTTACTCATTTAAGAGAAAGACACAGAAGGATGTGGTGTTGATTTGAATCTGAAAGAGTTGGATCCGTATCTTCAGTTTTGTATCTAAAACTGGGCTGGTAGCCAAGTTCTTCCAGGAGAGAAGGCACAGAGCTGGGAAGGGAGCTGGGCGGTATTTATGTGATATCAAAACAAGAGGTTAGTTCAGCCAGTTTTATCAAACAACTGGTCAATGCTGTGAAATAATGGTCCAACTGGAGGATCATCTTTGGCGGAGCCAAGCCACCTGGAAAGCCAACACAAACAACCAACTCAAAGAGAAGCTGCACATCCCACTCAGAGAGCTGGTGATTGAGTTATAACTCATCTGAAGTTTATGAACGATTTTGATGTTGACTGTTTTCATCTCATAATAAAACCAGTTGAGATCTCAGCCTTAGATTGGTGAAGAAATTCCAGACATAAAGGCCACAAAAAAGGCTGTTCAAATGAAGCTTCACACTAGATCATTCTTTTCTTTCCCACAGCCCACCCAGTGTGATGTTATTGATTTCTGTTTTCTTCAGATCCAGCCTTTTTCTCAAGCAGGGTGTGGGAACTTTGGCCCTTTTCTGTCATCATTTCTGAATATGCCTTTCAGTTATTTGGAGGAGAAGGGGGGGAAAATGGAGACACTTAATTAATCCTAGATGGCACAGGGCTAAGACCAGTATGGCATTGATGCAACTTTCTGTGCTTCTACAGAAAAGAGCCACACCCTGTAATCTCTATGGATGACCAGTCAGATCCTTTACAAAACAACAGCAAATATTTTAATGGAACTCTGCTAAGAAAGAGAATACTAGAGATCCGTGCCTAGACCGTCATAAACACTTTTATGCATTGCCTATATTTTAAGGTCACAGATTAAGAATTAATTACCAGTCCTGTCATAACAACTGATTTCTTTAAATGTGTCTTTGTAATGAAAGATTTTAGCCATACAGAAAATTACAACGAACGTCGATATATCCACCATTTACATTTAATATGTTATCATTTTGCCCCTGCTTTTATTTTTTAAATTGTGAAGTGGTTCAAATGTACAGAAAAGTAAAGGGAAAATATTTAATGAATAACTTTGCAAATGAAATGTGTAAAGGGCTTGGAACAGTGCCTAGGCTATAGACAACAGTTATTGTGTTTGCTATTCCCACCTTATGTTTCATTATGTTTTAACATCTTGCCATTATTGCCTCAGATTTTTTAAGGAAATCAAAATACCAAGACACTTGAAGCCCCTGTTTGTCCCTCCTTGATCTTTCCCCTTCTTCCTTTTCTCCCTCCTCTCACTGCTCCAACTTGTCCCTTGCTTTCTCATTCTCATTTCCACCTTCTGCAGAGAAAACTACTGCCCTGATTTTGTGTGTTATTGTAGCTTCCATATGTTTGCATCATATTGTTCTAGCTTATAGAATTCCCAACAAATATTTAGTGTAGTTTTCCTTATTTATAAATATGTATATGTATCATTGTATAATTTCCTTTTTCATGCCGTATGTTTTTGAGATTCATCTATTTTTTCTTTACATAACTGCAGTTTATTCATTTTAGCTGCTCTATAGTATTCACTGCATAAATATGTATTATCTATTCTGTTTGACGAACATTGGGGTTTTTCTAGTTGTTTATTATTATAGATCTTCTGCATTGAATATATACAGGTTTTCTTGTGTACATATGTAAAAGTTTTTAACGCAGTGGCTTAATATACATGTGTACTCATGCACATACACACACTTAGACATATACTGAAACCAAACATTTATAAAACAACTTCTTACTGTTTTGCTATTTTTACTATTTTCTATTCATTTACTGTTTTCATTTCATTCTTGTTCATTCTATCTTATTCTAAAAATAAGATGTAGGTTGTGACTCATCAAACTAATTTCCCATTTCACTAATGAGTCTAAACTGATTGTTTGAGTTATATTGCTTTAGGTTTCATACTCAAAGATGAATTCCTGAATCAAATAGTGTATGGATCTTCTCCTTTACTTCTATTGCTTCCCCAAATATCCCCAGAAAAGAAAACAAAAACACTACCCCCAAAGCGAAGACAAAAACAAAAACTACTGTTGATAAACAAATCTCAGTTTACTAGGCCCATTGCAATAAGAAAGAACGTTCTCATGGCCAAGTCTTAATAGTGCCTCAAGACAGTGAATTAAGAAGAAGCTATTTATAGAGTTTTATGACCTGGGTTAGGTGATTTTAAGATAGAATTTCTATGTCAGGGAATTAAGTAGCCTTTATGACATAAAAGCTTTGGATTGGTGGGCACAGTGAGGTGAGGCTCTTGAAGCAAGCCTTGATGAGCAAGCTACTAGTCTTGATAAGTAAGCTATTTTTGTAGCCTCACAACTTTATCTTCCAGGAGCAAATATTTCCCAGAGCAAGTAGCTAAGTATTGTTTCACAAAGAGGCAGAAAAGTATGTCTTATCTCAGACTTGTCTGACACAAGGACAGAAAAGAGGGAATCAGGTTGGATTTAGTTCTCACTATACAATGCCAAATATTCTCCAAAGCGGTTGTGCCCATTTAAAAATCCCACCATAATTAACCATGTTCTCATCAAGATTTAGTATTGTCTTTTTAAAAATTTTGCCATTCTGAAAGTCTAAAATATCATACTATCTCATCATTTTATTTCATATTTCCTTGATTACTAGTGAGATTTTTTTTATTTTTCCATGTGATTATCGGTCATTTGAGTTTTTTCTTTGGTAAATGGCCTGTTCATATCCTTCAACAATTTTTCTAGTTTGTTTAGCTATAGTTTGTTTAGCCTTAGTTTCTAGTTGTCTAGCTCTCTTTTTCTTATTGTGTTAGTTCTATATATTCTGCATAATATTTTGGTAAATATAAGTAAATATTTCAATCTGGCCTTCATAATTTATCTTAATATTCGATGTCTTTTGTTAAAGTGTTAAAGTTAAATGTAGGAAAATTAATCATTTTTATGCTTTGTGCTTTTGGTTTATTTCAGAAATTCTTAAAAATGTTTTTCTCTATTTTTATTCATATATATTAAAAATTTTTGTTCCATATTTACATCTTTAAACTGTCTACCTTCTGCAGAGCAACAGAAATAATCAGCAGAGTAAACAGACAAACCACAGAGTGGGAGAAAATATTAACAAATTATGAACCTGACGAAGGACTAATATCCAGAATCTACCAGAAACTCAAATCAGCAAGAAAAAAAAAACAACCCCATCAAAAAGTGGGCAAAGGACATGAATAGACAATTCTCAAAAGAAGATATACAAATGGCCAACAAACATATGAAAATGTGCCCAACATCAGTAATTATCAGGGAAATGCAAATTAAAACCACAATGAGATACCACCTTACTCCTGCAAGAATGGTCATAATTTAAAAATTAAAAAGTAATAGATGTTGGCATGGATGTGATGAAAAGGGAACACTTTTATGCGCTGGTGGGAATGTAAACTAGTACAGCCATTATGGAAAACAGTATGGAGTTCCTTAAACAACTAAAAGTAGAACTACCATTGGATCCAGCAATCCCACTACTGAGTATCTACCTAAGGGAAAGAAGTCATTATATGAAAAAAACACTTGCACACGCATGTTTATAGCAGCACATTTCACAATTGCAAAACTATGGAACCAACCTGAATGCCCATCAACCAATGAGTGGATAAAGAAAATGTGGTATCTATACACCATTGAATACTACTCAGCATAAAAGGGAATGAAATAATGGCATCTGCAGCAATCTAGATGGAGTTGGAGACCATTTTTCTAAGGAAAGTAACTCAGGGATGGAAAACCAAATATTTTATGTTTTTACTTGCAAGTGGGAGCTAAGCTATGAGGATGCAAAGGCCTAAGAATGATACAATGGACTTCGGGTACTCAGGGGGAAGGGTGGGAGAGGGGTGAGGAATAAAAGACTACACATTGGTTATAGTGTATACTGCTTGGGTGACAGGTGCACCAACATCTCAGAAATCACCACTAAAGAACTTATCCATGGAACTAAAAACCACCTGTTCCCCAAAAACTGTTGAAATAAAAATAAACTGTCTAGCATTAATTTTTCTGTGTAGGAAAAAATAAAGTCTTTTAATGAAGTATTGTCACAGTAATATTGCTTAAGACAATCCACAACATCAGTGAGTTGTAACGAAAAAGAATTATTTATATTTTAAACACCTTTGGTTTGACTAGAGCTTGGCTGATGTTGGCTGTGCTCAGCTGAGTTTGGATACAGACTTTGTGTGAAGTTGGCTTCACACATTTGCCATAATTCTGGCAGCAGTAGGCTACCCAGGACAAAGGCATAAATGAAAGCGAGCAAGTCCAAACTCATTAGAACACTTCAAGTCTTGATTATGTGACATCTGCTGACATTCTAATGGCCAAAACAGGACACATGGACGAGCTCAGAATCAGTGGAATAGGGAAATATGTGCTGCCTCTAGTAGGAAGAACTGCAGTGTCCTATTAGCAATGGGTGTGGTTGCAGGGAGGGGTGAAATATTGGGACCAATAATGAAATTTACCACAGGCTATGCTCTTAGTTACAATAACATTTTATACAAAGTTCACTCAATCCCTTTCTATTATACCCGCAAAAGACTCATTCAAAGCATTAGGCTCTAAAGCAAGAACCTAATTATCGATGTTGGGTCTGGATGCAACTCCAGAACTAAAAAGACAAGTTATCTGCCTCCCACACACCCAGCAATGATGAAACATGGGAAGAATAACTGCAATGAACTCTCCCATTCACAAAAAGAAAATAACACATAGCAGCCACTGGCTTATAGCGATTTTGAATACTACTGAACAAATATGGCCAAGTACTTTTTTTTTTTTTTTTTTTTTTTTTTGAGGCTAGGGAATATATCTTCACTAGGTTCTAGTTTGAAACTGGAATGGCTCTCCAGCCCATATTTTCCCTGTGGTGCTTGGTTGTGCCCTCTCTTTTTTTTCCATCTTTTTAAATCACTTCTGAAGAAGGCATTGAGTATATTTCATTCTTAGCAACTTAGCAGTTTTATCAGTCTACTTCCTGCCTGCAGAAAGTTGAGGTCTAGGAGTACTTTTTTTTTTTTCATCTTAGTTACTATTAGTCTCCTTTTACTCAGGCTGAAGGATGACACTTTTGTCAGGATAAATATCTCATACTATTTTGTTTTATTCTCTTCAATCCCATGGGCTAAAAGCTACATCCACAATACTATTTAGACTTGCACCTTCTCTTGAGACCTAATTACAGAGAGTTTGGGCATATCAAGCTTCTGTGGGACATACCCTTAATCTTTCTAGGAACACTTTGGCAGAGCAGAACTTTTTTCAGAAGTCATCACAAGGGATTTTAGTAGCCAAAATCTTAGTATGTCCTTTACCTTGAGGCCATGTCTTACTGATAGTGTCCTGGGTTTGGTCTTTTCCTTGAGTCTATGTCATAATGGTCACACCATTGACTTGAAAATTGTTTCCCATTCCAACATTTCAAGTGCTTTTTTGAGTCACTCAATCCTTCATAAATTCAGTTTGCACCTCAGCCAATTAATTTTCAGCTCTCTTCTAATATCTCGTTAAAGGCAGCTGGCAGCAGTCAGCTTACCACTGCAATATTCTGCCTTAAAACCTTGAAGTTCATTATGTTAATAGCAAACAATACTTTCATTAAATATTTTCCACTCTGTAACACAGGTTGCCATTTATCAGCATCATATAGCAGTTTTCTAACTACCAGTTCCCAATGCTTATGCCCTACCTCTTTTACCAATTTTTGGCTTAGTCAACCATTCCCACAATAATCATAACAAACTCTTCAGCTCCTGAAATAGCTTTGGAGCTATAACGGTGACAGGAGCATCTTTTGTTACTCATAACAAGTTCCTTTCAACCACATCTGAGTTTATATTAGTGAAGTAACTTTTAGAAAGCTCCTAAGGATGAGGGGCTGGTTGCCAGTGTAACATCACCCATGCGATCAGAGGGCTGCAACTTTCAGCCCCACCCCCGGACCTCCAGGGAAGAGAGAAACTGGAGGCCGAGTTAATCACCATTGGCCAATGATTTAACAAATCATTCCTATGTCATGAAGCCTACAGTAAAAACCCTAATGGAAGGGGTTCCAGGTTGCTGGAAGTGTGGCACCCCAGAGAGGGCATGTAACCCCCTTGCCAATACTTTGCCCTAGGCATCTCTTCCATCTGGCTGTTCTTGAGTTTTATCTTTTATAATAAAACATTAGAAAGGAAGCCTTAGAAAGGTAAATGCAAGTAAAGTAACTTCCCTAACTTTTGTGAGACAATCTAGCAAATTACCAAACCCAAGGAGGGGGTTGTAGGAAGCCCTGATTTATAGCCAGTTGGTCAAAAATACAGGTTACAACCTAGGACTTACAACTGGCATCTGAAGCGGTGGGCAGCTGTGTGGGACTGAGCTTTCTAACTTGTGATGGAGCTGATGCTAACTCCAGGTGGACAGCGTTAGAATGAATTGAATTAGATTGTAGGACACCCAGTTGGTATGACAGAGAATTGAGGAATTGCTTAATGGGAGAGAAAAACCCAGACACTTGGGTGTCAGATGTGAAATATTGAGAATAGAAAAACAGAGTGTTTCCCTTTCCTCTATTTGCTAGGCATCCAGTAGGCTACCTTTCTTAATAGCTTCCTTTCTAATGTCATTGACTTAGGGCTCTTAAGTGAGTTCTAGCCAATGGAATGTGACTGACAGTAATGCATGAGACTTCCAGGTCCACACACAAAAATATTCTAATGCCCAATTATCCATTCTTTCTTTCCTACTCACTTGGTGAACCAAAGCAAAATGAAATTGGGAGTAATGTATTGAAGATGAAGGAGACTCAAGATAAAAAAAAGCTTAGGTTCCTGAATCACCATTGAAAGAAGTGCTGCCACTGATGAAACACTCACTGTGGGCTGTTCATGAGACCATGTTTTTTTAATTTATGTATTTATTTTGCTCTTTCTATGTTGTTTTGTAAACAGAATGTAGCTGGAAATTCAATCTGATCTTTTATTTTCTTATAATATTGAGATTTACCCACTTTTATTTATTGGATTTTTAATATATTTGCAATTATTTATCCCATCATATTACACTTTTAGATGCCTTTTTTATTTGCCTCTTTTGTCTCCATTTTGCATGTTGTTCACTTATTTACATTGTGTATATTTCCAATCGCTAAAATAATAGATAAAAATTCCATTGCCTCCAAACCAACAGGTGAAAAGTAGCAGCATTTTCTCAGTGCAATTTGAAATTGTTTTCAATGCAATGAAATTGTTTTCCATTATTTTAGTAGTTACTTTTAAATATTTAAACAGATTTGCTTCAATATAAATTTGTGCAACAAGGCCTACAATTAATCAGCCTTTGTCTTTTTCTACTAATCACAATAGAGAGCTTTACATACTAAAACTACATATTTAAAACTAAATGTCCCTCCCTGCAGCAACACATTTTAGCTTTTCTCTTCATATTACAAAAATTTACTTTTTAGCAACAGTGTGTTAATTAGAATTACTTGTTTTATCAATTTCTGCCTATTGTTTTTTATCATGTGGTTTCCCTGGTTTCACATTCCTTCTGGCTTAACTTTATCTTTTAATAGTACTTTTAGTGAGGGCTATGGATGGTAAGTTATTGTGTTTGTATGTAGGAGATTGGTCAGGGTGGTGGGAAAAATTATAGGGAAAGACAAAAACCTTCTTGGAAGGCTGGGAGGTTTTGCAAAAGCTTGGAAAGAGAATTTAGCTGAAGGCAGTTAAATTCTCTTAAGGGCAAAGGGTAGATAACAAGGGAATGTAAAGAAACTTATCTAAATAAATTGATTTAGTTATGTCTCCGGAAACCAACCTTTGATCATTCGCATGCAGGACTGCTGTCTACTCAGGGGGTCGACAATGTTAATTGCCCACAAATTGTGTTTGCTCCAAGCCTTTGTCATTAAATCTGTACTAAATAAATAAATAACGGCTCAGGCTTATTGTGGCTGCACTCTCATCAGTGGTGCTAAGTGGTGCAGTCCCCTAGCCACACTGTCAGGTAAAATACCTGTGTCTGCGTACTCCTTTCATCCATCACTCGACCAGAGTCTGCAGGATGGACCCAGCATTTGTATACATAGTATGTTTTTATTTTATGCCATTATTTAGCCTTTGCTCTTTAATGATAGTTCATTTGTATATACAATTCTACATTGCCAGTTATTTTTCTTCTGCACTTTGGAGCTATTATCTTACTGTATTTTGGCATCTATCATTGCCAGTAAAAAACCTGTCTCATGTGTGAAGGTTATCCCTTTATTAGTAATCTGTCTTTTCCTGTCTGGCAACTTTTAAAGAATTCTCCCTGCCACTGCTTTCCTATAGTTTCACAAGAATGTACCTTGATGTGGATTTATTTTTATTGATATTGGTACTTAACGTGTACTTTTGCTATGAAGGTTAACATTTTTTAATTCTCTTTAATTATAGAAAAATTGAAGCTACTATCTCTTTGGGTGTTACTTCCCTCCGTTTATTTTATTATTTTCTTCTGGAATTCCTATTAGATGTATGCTGTAGCCTCTTCATCCACCCTTGTTTCCTCTTTATTCCTTCTTCCTATTCTTCATCTTTTTGTTTCCTCATCTTCACTGTTAGTGATGTCTTCAATATAACTTACTCTTATGTATGCAACGTAGAGTTTAACCAACTTATCAAGTACTTTTAAGTCAATAACTATATACTATTTCATACTATTTCATCCCGATTTCTAATTAGATCTTCCTATATTCATCTCTTCTTCTTAAATTTCTCTGTTTGATTCATAAACTTTTGATCATCTTAAAATATTTCTTTCACCTAATTCTCAGAGTACTCTGTGTGTTAAAGTCTTTGTCAAACTGCTACACAAAATTAATTTCACCCGAAATGAAATATTCTTATGGTTACATTTGTTTGTTTTTCTTAACATTAGATGTTTTAATGTATTTTGGAATTTTGCTGTTTGTGTAATTTGGGGAGGACATTTTGTATGTGTCTTTTTACTTTCTGCCTTCTAGTTAAACTCTAGACTAGATAAAGACAATAAGTTAGTATTGAGGATATTACTATCCCTGGTTAGAGATTGTGCAGTTATTTCCACTCATTATGTGGGTTTGCCATAATGGCATTTTGGGGCCGTTGTGAGACCATCTCCATTGTGTGGATTATGATGATATCACAGATCCAGTCACTAAGCAGTGGGATTCGGTGTCCCATTTACTAATCACTGTCTGGTTTGTTACGCTCTGCTCTTGTCTTCCAGCAATGATAGGCCTGTAGCTTGCTCAAAGCTGCAGACTCATGCTGGTCTAGTATTACTTCCATCTTCTGAGTACAGAATGACTTCAAGCACCTTCAAGGGTAGTGTTTCCCTGACCTGCATGAAGCAGTTTTAATCTTGTGTATCCTGCAGGAGCTAAGGTCCTACTATCATCACTCACTGCAGACTCAGAGCCCAGCACATCTGAGACTTCAGCCTTACACATGGATTTTAGGTTTCAGTTCTGTTTCTGGTCCCCAGAGTCCTCTCTTGTTTCTCAGTTTATTTATATTGTTTTTGTTGGCTATTTATATATTATTATTGTGTGTTTCGAGTGGAGGAGATGCATTATGTTTCTAATTTACTGTAGAAAATTTGGCTACGAGTTCATAATGTTTAATTTTTCTGAAAAAAAAAATCTAGCATTTCATTAATTGCTTTATTCCCCTGCCTTCCTTAAAGGCTACACGCTACCTTCCTCACCTATCTAAATATTGTTTTGAGGAAATTACAAAGAATAAGCAGGAAAGGGAAACACAGCCAGTAGGAAACAAGTAGAGCAGTAAGTATGAAGCTGGCCATAAAAGTGATCTGATAACTTGTGCATTTAATATTTTTCTCTAGGACATTGAGTTCCATTCGTACCTGTACTCTGGGGGACCCTATTATCTCTGGAGCCTGCCAAATGGAACTTAACATGATAATGTAATATTTACTGCTTGTTCCTAATTGCATGTCTTTGAAGAAACTGGAACACTGCATAGGAACATCACTGTTTATTCCTCTAGCATACAAATGGGACTGTTTAACTTGTCCTTTCTAAGAACTCTCTGGTGAGGTTGCACACTCTCCAGCTGTGTCTGTCATGTCCTACTCCTTAGCTGGGTAAGTGTGTGCACCAGGGGTAGGGTATGGGTCAGACGAGGACTTCCCCTGAACAGCTTTCTATTCCTTGGGCTGAAATTAAGGCCCTGAGAAAGACCACACATCTTTTCCTCAAATCATTGTTAGACACAAGTAGGACAATACCTTGAATTTAATTTATTTATCAACCTGTGGCTACATCAAAGCCCTTTGCTCCATAAAAATCCTGTTCCTATTCTTTCTCCCCTTTCATTACTGTCCTCCCACCTACTTTGTTTGAACTGATCATTTGGCTGTCTACTGACTGTAGAGAAAAACCATTATTTCTCCCATGAACTACTACAAAATCCCCAGAAATAGTCTGCCTACTTAAGTCAATTTATTTTCTCAAATATTTTTAAATTTTTTTACAAAAATTCAAAAATGTATTTAAATGCAGTGATATATGCAGATGATTAAAAATGAAACGGTAATGAGAGATATACAATGAAAGGCAGTATTCCCTAGCCCCACTGCACCTCTCCCCTAAAGACTTCTCTACAGAAACAATTTCTATCTTTAATGCTTATGGTGGTTATTTCAATGACTCTAAATATAGTGCTTTATAAAAACATAATTCAACTGAGCATTATCATTTCTCTATTGACATTTTGCCTTGACTGATGGTTGAGCCACCTTCCTGTCTCCTCTTCTGTCATTCCAGTTACATCACTAATCCCACTTCCACCAAACGGCATTCTTCAATCCTTGCTGCTTTATCTGTTCACTGTAGGCCAGCACTGTCCAGTAGAACTCTCTGTAATAATGGAAATGTGCGTATCCCCTCTTTTCAATATGGTAGCTCCTACCTCCAGGTGAATATTTAGCACTTGGAATCTGGCTAGTGTGACTTAGGAAAAATAGAATTTGAAATTGTACTTAATTTTAATTAATTTAAATTTAAGTAGCCACATGTGGCTAATAGTAGCTGCATTGGGCAGTGTAGCTACAAATGTCTCTGAACCATGATTTTGTTGAATGAAAAATTAGCTGTCTTCATTTCGTCTCACCTCTCCTCTCTCTTTCATTTTACAACCTTCATTATCTGTACCTTTACCATTTATATTGCCCAAATCAGAACTACCAGTGTGCTATCCATAAGTATAGTTAAACCTTCCATGGTATGTCGAAGGTCAGTCCTAATGCAGAACATTAAGAAACTATATTTATATTATTATGAATTTAGTTTCTTTCATAGCTTTCTTCACAATTTTTAATTTTTTGTTGATTTGTCTCTCTTGCTGAATTATACATCTAATGAAAGTGAGCATGTTGTCCACCTTTTTCAATATTATACCTTCAGAGCCCAACAGAATGATTATCACAAAAATAGATGTTTTGTGAATGTTGAATGGTTGATCATGTATTATTTATTCTTCTTCAAATATTTTAGTGCACCCTAATAGAATCAGTAAATGCTCCTCGAGTGAATTGGTGTTAATAGAAAATGTTTTCATTGTCATTTAGGGCAACTATTACTCCATGAAATATTTTATTTTTTTCTCTATATACATAATCTGTGATGGTGTTTCCAAATGATCTGAGTTGGAAATTCCTCTACTACTAACATATAATAATGAAAATAATCTAAAGAATCTAAAAAATTAGTTTGTTATTTTTGTGTGGTACGTGATGTAATTTTAAGTAAACATTTTATTTTTATAGTTAGCAAACTGTTGTATTATAAATCTCATTTTAATAACTGCTTAGTGATAGAGATAATATGTAGATTTTTAAATTAACGAGTAATACATATTCTTTAAATACATTTTGTAATATAAAATGTGATTTGAGATTATATTTTTTACAAATGACATATAATAGTTTATTTGAATTTAGGGTGAAAGTACATGTAAATATATATTGAAATTTAACAATGTGTTAAAAGATCAAAATTGGGGGAAATAATTTCGTGTTTCTTCTTTAAATTGTTTGCATTTTACACTTTGAAAATCCAATTGATATATAGATAGACAGATAGATAGATACGTGTGTTTATATATGTACGTACTCATACAATCTTCCTTTCAAATGTTAAGAGAACACATAAACACACACACATACATACATACTTACATACATATAATTTTCCTTTCAAATGTTAAGATAAAGGCCTTTCAAGATTTCAAGATGACATTGGTAGGTAATTCTTAGTAACTAATTGGTACAGGAACAGATAGTCTTTATTGCTAATAAGAAATCAATGTTTTTCATTATTGCTGTAATTGTTTTTTATCCAGCATTTTATTTTGAAATTCCAGATGTGCTATATAAGGATTTCTTTTTGGCAGAGAAATAAAAACTACAACCTTGGTGAATAGAAATGTGTATAGATGTTCATAGTTAGCATTTTTCCACTTTATTCATTAACTATATTTGAACATCATAATTCCACTTGCTTTCCTGTATTTACTCATGCTTTATGACTAACAGTCATAACGTTTAAAACCATCGAGGGCTAATAGGCTGAGAAAAGCAATAAACAGTTTGAGCTGTGAATGAGTTATAAAGCTCTCTTTCCTGATCACTATTGACTATTGCCCATACACAATACACAGTCAGACCTCCTAAGCTACAATATTAAAAAATGCCAAAATAATTATATTATTTATTGATATAAAAATCGAAAGTGGTGCCATTATTAAAAAGGCAAATCTCCTGGAACATCTTTTCAAATGGTTGGGTGTTTCTGAATCATAAGTGGGAACTACCATGTCATGGTATTCCATGATTGATTTAAAAACTAACTCCTTTATTCATTATATATGAATGATTCCATAAAAGAGACAATTCTATAGCATGACATTTAACAAACCAAATCCTGATATAGTACATAACTGGATTGGATCTGCATGTTTACCTATGTACTGTGGGATTTGTCTTTTATGAGTTACCAGTTCAGAGACTAGTTCATCTTTGGTTGTATAGGATGTTAGGATCTCAGTTGGCATTCACAGTTAAATCATGCACCTTCAGGAACTGGGAGCATTTTGATCCAGAGTCACAATCATTCCTTTCTTATCTTCATCCCTATGGTATGTGTGTTCTGAAGTTTAACTGACAGATGGCAGCTGGTACCAGATATTATATTTTAAATATTATTAGCTGTGTGTGAACTGCTGGTTTGCACTAAGCAGATCCCTCAGAGGTTCAGAGACACTGTCAGGTTATGCTAACATGTTGCCCACACAATTAGGCAAACAACTCATTTTCATATAAACTGACTTGTCATCAACTAAAAGCTCAACAGCAGGTTTGACTGAAGATTTGTTTCACTGGAAGGCATAACATTCCACCTTCTTCTCATGGGTCCTTCTTGTCTCAGGCTCTTGTCTTGTACATGGAACCACACTGCACGGCACCCTGGCTGTTTCTGCCCTGCACAAACAGTGCCTATCTTTGGATTTCTTTCCTTTCAGAATTATCTGAACTTCATTACCCTGGGTAACTCATCCCTTGGGTCTCTATGTGTTCTCAACCAGCAGTGCTGTGACAAGTCAAATTTGCTAGGAAGATAATGGATAACAGCATCCAATGGCACTGCTGTATCTAAAACACTGCGTCCCTGGTTACCGAATTTCATTCCGGTGGCAGGTAAGGGAAATGAAGGTTTGGATCATGGTGTCTTCCCTAGTACTGACAACACTATTGTAAACACTCTGTTCTCCCCATGAATAGGGTCAATCTTACCTAAGTTCCTATAGTAGGAATGGCACATTTAACATGTCAGCTCTGACTTTCTGTGGCTGCTACCCTAAGTATTATGAGCCTATGTCATGCTCGTTAGGAAAAGTGCTGTCAGCAGTGTCTGAGTATGGGGAGGGGGAGATTACTTGCCAAACTTTGAAATCTCTGTTCTAAATAGTGTAGTTAAATACGTGTCATAATTTTGTTCATATAGTGCAGTCTACATTTGCTAAAGCTGTGTTGCCTTTGAAACTGACATGTAATGATTCCCTCTGGGAATTTAATAGCTAAATTCATTTTTGTTTGGTCTATAATGGGCTTTTCCACTCTATTTATAATAAACAACATCAATGCAACTTTTTTTCAAGAGAAGGGTGGGATGGAGAGGTTAAGTGACAATATTGATGATGATCCTTTGTCAGGTAAACTCCCTTTAGATGAAACATCATGAAAAACTTTGTAACAGTACCATCGAGTCAATGCTGTCTTTAAGGTCCAGCCCAGACATGAGCAATAGCCATGAAATTCATGTTTGCCCACATACTTTGGTCACCATTGCTCTTTGCCCACCTAATGAAGAGCAGATGCATAGAAAGCATGGCTTGATTTTAATCATGGTTTAGGATCTATTCTACTGCTATTTGGTGTTGGATTTTAATTGGATAGTGGCAAACGAGCTGGTAAAGAAAGATTCTCAGTCTGAATATTTTCTAAGTGGCAAAATCTGTCACTTTTCTGCTCTTTCTGCTAAAATGTAACTGTTCAGTTTCTTCATTCTCTTTTCTTCTAATATGTGTTACAAACCAAATCCTGACCTGGTACCTAACTGAAGAATATAGGCAGTTTTAAAGTCTTCACTTTTTGACTTGGGATTGGATGTGCATGTTTACCTATGTACTGCGGAATTTGTCTTTTATGAGTTACCAGTTCAGAGACCAGTTCATCTTTGATTGTATAGGCAGTTATACATTCGACCTTACTTTAATATTACTGGGAAATAACTTCTGTGTTTTGGCTGAATCAGTGATAGATATACAGATGTAATAATCAGAAGGCAAACCACAAAGCAACTTACTTTAAAAGGATAATCTAGATACCAAATCTCAGAAGAAATCATTTGGGAATCTGAACACTAGGGCCCCAAGTCAAAAACCATACAATTCTCTTGACTCTGTCTTGCTAAATCAGTCTGCAAGGGCCAACGTCTGATTTGCCTTCTTGGGCCTACTTCCATTAGTGTGGGAGGTCTTAGCAACATATTAGGACAACTGTTCAATGCATATCCCATGGAGTACAGAAAGGGGGAGCATCTGAATGTGTCCTAGGGAATAAAACTGGTAAAGGATACGCTTTGACTCTGCTGTCTCCTTTAGAGCCCCTGCCCCCCCTCAATAAATTCATTTTCTCTTTGATAGGTCTAAGAAATTCCCAGAGAAATGTCATGGTTTCTGATGAGGCTGAAAGATCTTACAGGTCTATGAAGGACATAAGATATAATCCTTAACTCTCAAAGAGGGTTGAATAGCGTCCCCACAAGATTCATATCCACCTGGAAACTCAGAATGTGACCTTATTTGGAAATAAGGTATTTGTAGAGATAATCAATTAAGGATGAAGATGAGATCCTACTGGAATTAAGGTAGATCCTAAGACCAAAGACTGCTATCTTTGTAAAAAAAAAAAAAAAAAAAAAAAAAAAAAGTAGAGCCCATGCACAGAATAAGGCCATGTGAAAACAGAGACAAAGATTGTAGAGATGCAGCTGTAAGAAGCACCAAGGGTTCCCGGAGGCCACCAGCAAAGCTAGGAAAAGACAAGGAAGGAGTCTTTCCTAGAGCCTGTAGAGGGAGGCTGACCCCGCCCATAACTTGATTTTGAACTTCAAGTCTCCAGAATTCTTAAAGAATAAATTTCTGTGGTTTTTAAGTCTGTGATAACTTACGGCAGCCCTGGGAAACTAACACAATCATCTGGTTGGAGTCTCCTTCCTCTGGATTTTGGGACCCTGCTTTCATCCAACTTCCCACCTACCTTTCTAGCCACCCCTCACTTTCTTCTGCCATTCCTTTTCCTCTACCCACAGCTTAAATGATGGCACTCCTCAGAATTCTGTCCTTGGATTTTCTCACTGTACATTCCCTTGGTAATCTTATCCAATCTCATAGTTTTAAACTCCACTTCTCAGTTCACACACATAAAGCTACAATCAGACCTCTCTCTTTAGAGTGACTTTTAATGTCTTATTAGATATCAACAACTGATGTCAAAAATACATACTTAAAACTCATTTTTAAACTCCCTTTCTATTCTTTATTATTCTCCTTTACTTTTCCTTCTACCCCTCATCCTTTATTTCCTATATATTTTCATGCATCACTTTTGATCCAATGACAAATTACAAAAGTCAAAAACCTGAGTCATCCGAGAACCCCTATCCCCCACTTCCTGCTTATTGCCAATGTCTTAGCAAGCCCTGTTTGTTTTATTATTTGAAACTGCCCTGAATCCACCATCTTCCTAGATCAGGTCCTTAGCAACTTTGTCTTACCTGCTTGGCGTGGTTTTCCATCAATCTAACCGCTCTCTAAACCATCCCATAACGCTGCAATTGTCACCGTATTTCTAAAATCTAACTATGATAGAATATTTCCCTGCTTAGAATCCTTCAAGGGCTCTCAATTACCCAAAGGTTCAAACCACTTAGAATGGCTTGGCCATCTTCATGTCCCACTATTTCCCCATCTTCTAATTGGACTGTGGTCATATCAAACAGCCTTCCATTCTCTGAATGTGCACTGGACTTTCAAACATCTCCAGGCCCCTGTTAGTTCTGTTCTAGCTTTTGAAATGCCCTTCCTCCTTCCCATGTTTATTTGGCTCCCTCCTGTTTCTTCCAGACTCTTGATGTCTCCCAGAAGGCTTCACTTCCCCATTCCATTGTGAATGCCCCTCTCCTGGGTTACCACAGCTCCCTACACAAGCCCTTACCTCCCTTCCTTGCATTGGTCATTTCTGACCTGCAAGTCTCACCAGACTATGAGGTCCATGAGATAGAGATAGTGATCAATTTACAGTCAATGAATATTTTAGAAATAATGAGAAATAAGGAACATATATTAAAATATTTAACAAATATACAGTAGTCTATGTGTCAGTGTAATAATATAGTATAATAAAATAATAAGTTTAAGAGAAACATCAAAGGTTGCTGGGCTGGAATAAAGACTGGGAGAAGGTGAGACTTGATGTGGGCTTTGAAGAAACAGTAGGACTTAAATAAGTAGCTTGTGATATTCTAGACAAAATAAATAGAGTGAATTTGGCATTAGAATTCCATAAGCTGATGGATTTCAACTGCAACTGGCAGATAGTTTCTTTACCTTGACACTGGTGACTTTGAAGTGACAGGCTGGTATGATCTAATGTAGTTGTTAAGTCCATGAATGAAAGTGTTGTTCTTGGAGTGCTTCTGGTTACAGAAGATGTCTGAAAAAGGTAAAATAAGAAAAGAAAATTAAAAACAACAACAACAACAATCTTTCCAGTGAGGCAATGTTCAGAAGAGCCAGAATCTTAGCTCATGGGTTCAAATGCAACATGGATTTCCATGGGACATTTAAGTTACCCCTTAGCCTATTAAATTGCTTCCTCTATGAACCATGGAAAATGAAAACCAATTAGCATCAGTTGGGAAAGGGACTTGGGTTGGGAAAAGGACTTGAGAATTTCCTCTTGTGGTTTAATTCGGGTCTCAGAATAGCAGTACTGCAGGTTTGAGCATCCAATTTCATACTTTATATTCTATATTAAGCATCAAATGGAGCAAAATTTTAATTCCTTTGGATAAAACTGACAATACATCTAGGTGTTTGCTGTTGCTTCTCCCATTAAAAAAAGCTGCACTGGGGAGCAAGCATGTCGAAAGGGCTCTTATGGATGGCCTATTGCATGCCCTTGAAAGATGCGCATTGTGAAAAATATGAAATTGTTTCAGATTCCTCTCAAGTAACAATACAATTTAATCATACTTAGTCTCATCTAATACAAAGCCCTTTTTGCTGAATAAAGTCCTAGCAAGGCTCTAAGGATGTAAGACATAAACAAAGATGAAAGTACTTATCATAAAATTTGCATTTCATACATGGTAGAATCAGATGACTACATGAGAAGAGAAATAGCAACTTATTTCAATCCTGCCACTTCTCTTAAGTTCTGTTCCCAACGAACAAACTTTATAAGGATTTCCATGAATGGGCCAAGGAATATCAGACGACATAACTTTCAACAAGGTGAGTGAATGCAGACTAAGGGGTGAAGCAAAAATGTCCTTTTTCTTCATTTCTCTTTCAATCTTTTTTCTTCCTGGGAAACAGCTAGGCCTTCTATTTTTTTTTTAAGATAACATACAGATTATCTATATAAGAATTCAGTAGTTCTCATATTTATTATAAACAATAGAATCTACAAGGATTTTGCCTTGTCCATGAGTCAACTTTGTAAGTCATCTTTGTCTTTGATTTTCCAATAAGAATCCATTAAAAATCAATTCAGGCTGGGTGTGGTGGCTCACGCCTGTCATCCCAGCACTGTGGGAGGCCGAGGCAGGAGGATCACGAGGTCAAGAGATTGAGACCAGCCTGGCCAACACGGTGAAAACCCGTCTCTACTAAAAATACAAAAATTAGCTGGGTGTGGTGGCGGATGCCTGTAATCCCAGCTACTCAGGAGGCTAAGGCAGCACAATCACTTAAACCCAGGAGGTGGAGTTTACAGTGAGCCGAGATACTGCATGCCAGCCTGGCAAGAGAGCAAGACTCCATATCAAAAAACAAAAACAAACAAACAAAGAAACACAAAACAATCAATTCAGCAGGCCTCAAAGGAAATATCTGATGTAGTCTTTGATCTGATGGAATTTGGGGAGAAATATTTGATATGTTCCAAGGAAACCAGTAGAGGCAGAGTTAATTTCAGCTTCCCAGATATTAAATGTTTCTCACCAAATTTAAAATGTTTCTCTCAGATATAAAATGTTTCTCACCAAAACAATAATTTTGCCCCTAGTGAAGGAATCTGTTGTACGTTCAACACTTCTACATCTATGGGTGATTGTTATTTTATGGTTTCAGAATGTTTCTCCCTAACATGTAGGTGTCACATCTTACCATTCTTCAGTGATACGCAGGTACCTCCCCCTCCTTGAAACCTCTTGGCTACTACTATGTCAGCCCCTGCTCATTCTTCCATAGTACTGATTAGCTGCACCACACATTTTAGTATAATCTGGGATGCCCAGTGATCAAACCACCTAGGTCATTCTAGTGCATAAATTATTATTCCTATTTTACAAACAAAGAAAATGGTCTTAAACATCTCTCAAACCTAAGTTAGAAAATCAAATGCTGAAGAAGCATTAGGGCTTTTAGTGGTCACACTATTAGGGCTTTTATGGAGAGGAGATTTTGACATTTTCCTTCATTTTAATAAAAATAATCAAATTGTTTAAATCTCCATAAAATAAAAAAGCAGAACTTACAATAACATTTGTGCTGAATTAGGGTCTTTTGTTTTCATGCAGAAAATTTCTTTTCCACTGTATCATGTGAGAGAAACTTCACTATCTAGCAAAGCCCAGATTGTTGGAAATAGCTTGATTTCTGATTTTTTTTAACCACTGGGAGTGGGTGGAGGAGACTCCATATTAGTGTAGGATCAATCATGGCTGATGAGACTACAAATACTTGGTGATTGCTACCATTTTAATTAAAAGTCTGAACTCATTACATGGAGCAAAGAAACAGAAACTTTTAGAAAAGGGAGCACAGAAAATCAACTCCATATATTAATGCATTCTCAATATATAAAGCTTTGGTTTCTGTTTATTTTTCTTCTCTGGAAACATAAGGACCATTTAATAAATGATTGCTAAGATGATTTATACAAACAACTATCTACAGACCAATAAGTATCTTCTACAATGACATCTCCTCATTGCTTTATAACATCATAAAAGGATGTGTATCCATTGGACAAACAGAGATGTTAGTATAGTGAAGATATGAAGGAGAGCCTCAGATATATTAATGTTTTATTTTTTCCTTTTTGGCATAAATTGACACATAATGTCCCTATAAATTTGTAAGCTTTGGCAGGGGGAGCAAAAATCATATTTTTACTTTTGGGAGCTTTTTGTAGTGGGAGACAGAAATAAATCTAAGAAAGAAAAATTGGGAAAAGAGTTGAAAAACAGGAACTGATTATATTATCACCTAATATAGGTAAAACCATTTTTGTTGGTTGAAGCTAACAAAAGCATTACACAGTTTATTCATAAAATGATCATGCCCTGGAAGGGACATAATAATATTCGGAAAGTTTATCTGTGGAAAGAATTTTTGACCCACTCAGAACAAAAGATTGCACTGTAGGACAAGTTTATGCTCTGCCAGGAAGTGAAGCAAACATGTGGGCTATTGGGTGAGTTAAGGTGGGAAGATAAACTGCTTTAGTTATTTTCTTTTTAAATATTGAAGTGTATTCTGGTGGAGTTTATTTTTTTCATCTTGAGTGGTAACCCGAAGGTTTGGTGAATGTACATAAAGATATAGATACACACATAAATATGCATTTGTGTGATTCAGCTACCAGCTATGATGTGCTAGAGAGTGGAGCTACGGATACAATGAGGAAACCCCCACAAGAGCGATCCTAAGGGAGGAAAAAAAAAAACACACACACAGAAGGTGGATAAAGATACAGGAGGGGCTGGGCACGGTGGCTCATGCCTGCAATCCCAGCACTTTGGGAGGCTGAGGTGGGTAGATCACAAGGTCATGAGTTTGAGACCAGCATGACCAACATGGTGAAACCCCGTCTCTACTAAAAATACAAAAATTAGCTGGGCATGGTGATGTGCACCTGTAATCCCAGCTACTCAGGAGGCTGAGGCGGGAGAATCGCTTGAACCTGGGATGCGGAGGTTGCAGTGAACTGAGATCGCACCACTGCACTCCAGCCTGGGCGGCAGAGCGAGACTCCATCTCAAAATAAATAGATAGGTAGCTAGATGATAGATAGATAGATAAATAGATAGATAGATAGATAGATAGATAGATAGATGGATATAGGAGGATACTCATGGTGTCAAGGTGACCCAGTTCCTGTTAGGTACCTAGGGGAACATGAGGTATCTGGGAACCAGGTCTAAATGAATGGAAGAAAAAGAATCCCTAGCATTGCTGACCACTTTGATCCTAGGTTCTGAAAAGTTGGCTAGTCCCCATCTTTCCCATTTTATAAATGGAAAGGCATGAAGATTTCAACGTCTGTGGTTTCCCAACATTTCTCCTTTCTGAAGAAGGAGCCAGACCTGCCAGGAAGTTATTGAGTTGGTCCAATGACCTATTAAAATGCAATCTTTTTTTAGAGCCCTTTAAAAGGTGACAGAGAAATCAAGGTTACCAACAGCACAGATTATAAATACCACAAACGGAATCACTCTCCAGATCTCATGAAAGGCAGAGCCTATAAAGTGGGCATGCCAAGATGCCGGCCCCCAGGTGTGAACTGATTTCTTAAGAGCACTGGGGAGTACATTAGGGAAGAATTTTGTCTGGATTTGGAGCCTTTGAGACTAGAACTACAAATTTGTCTAGATCCTTTAGAGACTTTAGGGGGTTACACGCTACAAAATGTAACTTCCTGTTTCTACAGGAAAGAAATTCTTTTAACAGGGCTAATAAAGTGAGCTCCTAATGAGGCCTCTCAGACATCAAATAGGCAGAGTAAAAACACGCTTTGATGATGTAAGTGTAAGGGGATCAGAAACATCTCCTTCCCCGACAAAAAATGCTTCCTTTCAAAGCCAGGAGAGCTGAAAATTTAAGAGCAAACCACACTTTGCCAAAGCCAAGATATCTGGAACAAGATTTTGAAGATATGAAAAGATTAAGGAAAGTCTCATTAGGAACCTGCCAGAAGCCACCCAGCCTTTGTGCCTTCCCCGACTGCTTCCCAAAGACATTGTAGTTTCAACATCCTCCACCACCACACCCTGCTTTCTTCAGTAACCTCATCTAAAAAAAAAAAAAAAAACTGTTCCAAAAACACTTCTCCAATAGTAGAGTGATCATGAGCAAATTCTTAACCCTTAACATTTTGTGGAGTCGCGTAACGCTTTGTGAATCAATGTGCATAAATTGATCATTCCACCTTCAGAAGTCATAATTTCAAGTTAGGAGTTATGAGTTTAACACAGTTAAAGATTTCATAGTCAAAGAAGATTTCATTTCAATATTAAGAATTTCTAGCAACCAGAGTTGTTTTTAGTGGGGCAGTGGGCAAGTTGTTTCAGAAGGCAGTGAGTGTTCCAGCTCTGGAACTGAGGCTCAGGGACAACCGAAAAGGAATAACACAGGTCCTGTGTTATTTTATAGTATACATTATATTACATTCAAATAAATTGGCAGATGTATTTAACAACCTCTGCAATTCCTTGCTACATTAATATTCTATCATGAATAAATGAAGATAAAGCAGACCACTTTTAATGTTTAATAACAAGAGATTCATTCCTCAGGAAGGGATTTAGCTATTACAGGTGTCTTTGTATAACAGCCTTCCTGGGAATGAGTTTCTAGCTATGCAGATCTACCACCTGGTCTACCCCTTTAAACAATAGATAAACTTCGTTCTAAGTAAATAACCTCCCTTGAGAAGATCTGAAACTCCATTTTATAGTTTCAATTTTTGGAAACTTGAAGTCTTTCTGACCTCTGCAGTCTTTTAAAAAGTGGTGATACCCCTTAGAGGCATTAGAGATGTTTCTTTTAGCTATTCCTAGGTAAAGTAGGAGCCAGGAGACATTCAGGTAAACCTGTGCAGCAAGGTTTCTCAACCTCAGCGTTACTGACATTTTGTTGTAGGGACAGTCTTGTGCATGTAGGATGTTTAGCAGAACCCCTGGCCTCTACCCACTAGATGCTAATGGCACCTCACCTAGTCAGGGCAACCAGAAATGTCTCCAGGAAATGCCAGATGTCTCCAGGGTGGCAAAACTGCCCCCGGTTGAGAACCATTGCTGCTAGAAAGGGCCGGAGGGTAGAGGCAGGTAGAGATGGTAGAGGAGGACCTGCGGTCTGAGAGGTGAGGACATCAAAGGGAGGTATAACCAATTTCACAATACTTTTATAGGATTAGGCCTGCTTACAGAGAGTACTTTTTCATCACTCATGCTTCCTACATCTTCCTATGCCAGGAAAATAAGTCCTTTTAGATGTCTCAGAAACTCCTCAGTAACCAGTAGAACATCTGTATGTACATATATATCTCTCACATAAATATAAAGCAAGGAAGGGGCTTCCCCGTTGATGTAATTGGCTAATTCCACAGGGCAGGCAGTCCGAACAGCAGCTGAAACTCTTGAACAGAAGCCGAAGCTTCAGTACACAGGCAGGAGTTCCTCCGCCGAGAAACCTCGGCTCTGTGTCAAGGTCTTCCAGCTGATGGGATCAGGCTCACCAGGTTCTTTAGGATAACCTTTACTTCTCTCTGAAATGATTTTTCAAGTGAATCACATGTACAAAATATCTTCACAGTCACACCTCAGTTAGTGTTTGATTGAATCACGGGGGTATCTTAGTCCATTCGGGCTGCTATAACAAAATACTACAAGCTGGGTAGGTCACAAGTCACAGAAATTTATTTTTCACAGTTCTACAAGCTGGGAAGTTCAAAATCAAGGCCCTGGCAGATTCGGTGTCTGGTAAGGGTCCCTTTCCTAGATGGCCATCTTTCCAATACAACCTCACATGATGGAAGGGGTGAAGGGTGTCTCTGGGGATTCTTTTATAAGGGCACTAATCTCTTATGACCTAGTCAAAGCCCTCATGACCTAGTTACCTCCCAAAGTTCCCACTCCTAATACCATCACCTTGGGGGTGAAGATTTTAACATGTGAATTTGAGGGGCCCATAAACATTCAGATCATAGTGTGGGGATTATAGCCTAGCCAAGGTGACACCTAAAACTGACCACTGCAGCATTCCAGAAATTACTCCCCAGGCTCTGGAGTCTAGCCCAGGACATTCTTCTGCTCATCTCATTTCAGCCTTGCCATAGGCCTTGATCTTGAACTCCCCAGCTTTCATAACCATGAGAAATAAATTTTGGATCCTGCGCCTGGCATCTGTTGCGTGACGCTTCCCTATCATGGCCAAGCCTAAGGTCCAGCTCCCTCAGAAGCATTTTCATGGATTTAAGAGCATCTTTGGAAGGTTCTGTATGGACAGTTTTCTAATGTACAAATAACCAATAAGTACAAAAGAGGATGCCTAACATCATTAGCCATTAGGGAAATGCAAACAAAAACCACAGTAAGATACCACTTCACACCTGGTAGAATGACTATAAGCTGAAAGCCAGCTAGTAACAAATGTTAGTGATGATGTGAAAAAATCTAACTCTCATTCACTGCTGGTAGAAATATAAAGTGGTGCAGCTGCTTTGGAAAATCATCTGGCAATTCTTCAAAAGATGAAACACAAAGTTACCATATCACCTAACAATTCCACTCCTAGGTATATAGCCAAGAGAAAAGAAAGCATGCGTCTACATAAAAATGTAGACACAAACGCTCACAGCCACATTGTTCATAATATCCAAAAAGTGGAAACAATCCCAATGTCTTGTCAACTGATGAAGAGATAAAATGTGCCATATTCAGACAATGAAATTATTCAGTCATAACAAAGAATGAAAATACCCACACGTGCTACAACATGGATAAACCTTGAAAGCATTATGCTGGTGAAAGAAGCAAGTCACAAAAGGCCACATATTGCAAGATTCCATTGGATAAAATATCCAGAATAGGCAAATCCATAAGGACAGAAAGTAGATTAATGGTTGTCAGGGGCTGAAGGTATTTCAAAGAAATGGGAGTGACTGCTTAACAGGCATGGGGTTTCTTTTTGGGGTGATAGAATGTTCCAAAATTGACTGGGGTAATGGCCGTACAACTTTGTGAATACAGTAAAAAACAATGAATTGCCAATGAGTGAATTTTATGGTATGTGAATTATACTTCAAAAAAGCCGTTGTATATATTTTTTAAAAGTGTCTTTGGAAAGCCTGGCAGCAGAAGAGTTTAACAAGCCTGTTGGGGGCAGGACTCTGCAATTAGATTGATGATTAGCCAATGCCCATGCCATCCGCGGGCCCAACCCCTAGGTCAGGAAGCAGGCTGTCAGAGGAAAGCAGGCAGCAAGGCGTTTCTCTGTTGCAAGGATTTGCCATTCCTCCCAGTCAAGCTGGGAGAGGGAAACTCTTCCCCCAGCACAGGGACTCCTTCCAGGATCTCCCTTCAATGTGCCAGTCTCTGCCGACAGTTGTGTAGTCTGCCACCTAAAGCAGGCAGATGAGGGTGGAATCCATCCAAGAAAAAACTAAAAGCTTGCCTAGACAGAGTATTAGCTCAGAAACTGCTCTTTTACCTCAGTGGCTTAAGAATTTTGATTCATTTTGTAACAGTTTATCTTCGATGATGCACCAGTGCATGACTCAGTCAGGTGGCCGTCAGCACCTCTGTGCTGGGAATTTACTAAAGCCCATCTTACTTATTCCACAGACAGCCCTGGATGTTTGCCCAAACTTCCTCCTTCTTCCTGGCTCCCATATATGGGAATTTCTTATATGTTAGCCTCTGAGGGAAAGTGTGGAGATGCTGCCCTTTCACTGCCATTTATAGCTTTAGTGATCTGAGGACTCTTCTGTCTTTTGAAACTTCTATTCAAGAACAAATATTAATGATCAATTGAGACCTTAGCTAGGATTTTCAAGAATGCAAAATAGGTTTTCTTTAAAAAAAAAAACAGATAATTGATTTTTCTTCAAATTTGACCTTGCTGAGATCAGAGTGAGGGCAATAGATTTTTTTTTTTCCCCCAAGATGGAGTCTTGCTCTGTCACCCAGGCTGGAGTGCAGTGGTGTGATCTGGGCTCACTGTAACCTCCGCCTCCTGGGTTCAAGCAGTTCTCCTGCCTCAGCCTCCTGAGTAGCTGGGATTACAGGCATCCGCCACCACATCTGGCTAATTTTTATATTTTTAGTAGAGACGCAGTTTCACCATGTAGGCCAGGCTGGTCTCGAACTCCTGACCTCGTGATCTGCCTGCCTCGGCCTCCCAAAGTGCTGGGATTACAGGCATGAGCCACTGCGCCCAGCTGGCAACACATTTTTTAAGCAAGGGCTCGCCAAGTAGTAGATAGACACCACGTTAGGGTCTGGTCCTCTATATTGCGGGTCCAGAGTTTCACACAACCTGAATGCCCCCAGCCTGTGAGCACAAACACATTTACATTGGTGTTATTACTCAAAGACTGTAGGCTTGCTGCCTTCACTTATATCAGGAAGACCATGTATATCAGGAGGACCACGTATAACAGGAGGACCTTGGCCACTTGAGGAGTCTCCTCCAGGTACTTCAGAGCTCCCCACACATGTCTCAGGTGTGTTCAAGCAGGCCCTGCCCATGCTACTCCCACAGGGCCTTGGCTCATGCTGTCCCAACTCACCTGAGCAATGGGTGCATCCAGTGAGCCCTCCGGACCCCACCATCTCCACACCCTCCAAAGAATGCTGCCACTCCTTGGGAGCTTTTCCCACTGCTCAAAGCAATAGCAGAGGCCTGTATTCCATTCGGCCATTGCTCTCGATGGGTGCCCAAAAACTGGTCACAGGGCACTATGTGGTACCAGAATAGCCCTTTCCCCCTGTTTTCTCTCCCTTGCCTCCCATGTCTGTGCACAGAATTTCTTGTGGATACTTTAGCCAAAATAAGTCCAAACCCATTTTAGAGCTCTCCCTTGCCTCCCATGTCTGTGCACAGAATTTCTTGTAGATACTTTAGCCGAAATAAATCAAAACCCAATTCAGAGCCAACAACCCCACATCCTAATCAGACATACCACAAAACTCATATATATATATATATATATATATATATATATATATATATATATATATATATATATATGGTGTGTATGTGTGTGTTTCACAGTTTTGCTCTTGTCACCCAGGCTGGAGCGCAATGGCACAATCTTGGCTCACTGCAACCTCTGTGTCCCGGATTCAAGCGATTCTCCTGCCTCAGTCTCCCAAGTAGCTGGGATTACAGGCATGTGCCACCACACCCGGCTAATTTTGTATTTTTAGTAGAGACGGGGTTTCACCATGCTAGTCAGGCTGGTCTCGAACTTCTGACCTCAGGTGATCCACCTGCCTCGGCCTCCCAAAGTGCTAGGATTACAGGCATGAGCCACCACACCTGGCTGATATTCTTTAGGCTAAGCCAGGGTTAATCCATCTTATACTCAAGTTTAATTCGTGTTGTTAAACCTAGGGAGACACATGAGTATTAAAAGCCACATTTTCAATTTATTAATTTATAAGGAGAAAGTACTACCAAGTTAGCATTATCTCTCTCTTTCTCTCTTTTTTTACTATCTTCTCTTTCTCTTTCCCTCTCTCCCTCTCTTTCAATAGAAAAAGGTACTTAGGTAGTCAAACTTTTAGAGTAATTATTGGTGAGTGGCCCAAGTGAAGAATGACATAATCCAAATGGCCACCATCAATAAGTTATAGCAGCCTTTATTCATACCATTTCAATTTGAGTTTTCAGATCTCCATCATTCATGATTTACAAAACAGGAGAGCAAATCTCATCCTTTAAATTTGATTGACTTTTATGAATTTCACTTGCAAAGAAATCCTAATTCTATACCTTAGATTTCCACCCTCTTAAATCATGGCCACTCCTAGGGTTGGGGTTTGGAATAGAGAACAGTTTAGAATTTATCAAATAAGTTATTTGATAATCCCTTATTAATTAGGATTAGTCTAACTTTGTAATAAGACTTTATCGGAGTTGTCATTTTTACCTATATTCTGGTAATAGGATGTTAAAATAGAATTCTTGGTTTCAGAGCTTTTTGGATGATACGAAGGCCAATAATGACAAAAAAAAAAAAAAAGTGCCAGGTACCACCCTCCACCTCCCTGGTCTTAGAGTGTGGTGCTAGGATACCTATGCAGAGCAAGCTGAAAGATTCTAATATCAGTTCTGTCAACATTAGCCCCTCACCCACCTCTTAACTACATGAGAGAGGTTGAAGAGATCAGTGGAGAAGAATGTCATGGACAGCTTCTATGATGTCAAGTCTCTCCTGGAGGATGAAGAAAGGGGTTATCCCTCATCTCAAGTCAACTGAAGAGAAGCTTGAAGTGAAACAGGTGTAGATCTTGACATGCACCCCTTGGAGTTTGAGAACATAGTACCTGCATCCAATTCCAACTTGGGGGAATCTAAAAGTGAGAGGCTGGGGCTGTGGCTATTCTGGCATGGTAATAGAAGTGGCTGTCATGGGAATAGCCTGCCCTCCTATTTTGATATTCTCCATGTACCAGATGTGGATTCCAAAAAAGGGAGCCAAACTGGGTCATATTAAGAGTGAGCCCAAGAAGCTTGCCTGCATGCTGAAGTGACCCCAATAGAGGAGGACATGGTCAGGAACCAGTAATGAAGAACAGGTTATAAGCATACTTTAGAGGAGGCATTGCTTAACTAAACGGGACTTCAGGCAAGAAAGCCCCAGTGATGAGGCAGGGTCTCTATAAAATCCACAAAAACATTCAATGAGAGTCAGCCTTGGACATTTGCCAACACAAGAGTAACCAGAAAATCCAAGGAACTTGTCCAAGGTTTTATCTGGTGAGGAAGACAAGAAAGTTGAGAGGGTAGTTGCCGTCAGCAATGAGAAATAATAGTAGTTATTATTTGGTTAGTCAACACATTGTTTACTATGTTCAAGAAAATTTACATATTAATTCATAAAATTAACTTCTGTTTGTTCCCTACCAAGCCTAACATGTTCAATAAACTAGTTACATTTATCTTTCCTATTATTTCCCTAACAAATATATATTAAGTATTACTATGTGTCACTTAATGCTTAAAATATATTGGTGAATGAGACAGATATTTTAATGAGAGACAATATCCAAGTAGAAAAATAAGATAAAAACACCTCTTGGTAAATGTTTTAAAGCAATAAACATGATGCTGCAATATAGTAATTAGCAAAAGACAATTTAAGCCATTGTCTAAAGAAACTTGTGAATATCAATGTACGATTCAACTTGAATTACCTCACTGAGTTAGCCACAGTGTTTCATCACAGGAAGGGAATTATCAAACCGCTCACTCTGGGCCAAAAGATTCTGTCATCATACATATTAACATCACCTAAAAGCCCATCTTCCACCCTAGCCAGCACTGGCCAACCACACTGGTGGAAACTGTTCTCTCATGTTGGGTTTCTGTTTTTTGCTGGGACTGAATCTAGGTGTGAACCTCAACTTTATGCTCTTATTATCAATCAGACTACTCTGAGAACCACCAGCTTTGAATTACTTTGGATAATGAGAGGCTTGGCTAGGCATAGAAACTTAGAATTCTCAAATATCCCAAAAGTCTTTTGAGAATGTTAAGTCTCAGAATCTTGCTAAGAAGTAAGAGAGACTTAGTTAAGTTTCCCTTCTTCATATTCTTGTTGAGGAACCTCAAGGCCAAGGCTGTTGAGAAGATTCTGGAGACCTGATGTTATCCCCTCTGTTTCCTCTCAGGCCACTGTGCCCAATGTCTCTCTGCATATTCATCCTCCTTTGAGCACTGACTGGCTTCCTCTGTTTACTCATAACTTCTCGCTCATTTTTTGGCTTGTTCTCCATGGTGGTCTTGACTATCCCAAGGAACTTCTCCTACTCTGTAGGCTTCAGTTCCCACTGTCATTCAAATATGTCATTGATGATCTAATGTACCATCGTTTTAATAAGACCTAGTAGGGGGAGAATAATACAGTCACACTAAATGCCTATGTAGCTTGTGTGACATGTTGATTTCAGGTATATAATTACCACAAGGGAAATGTGCACCTTAGAATAAAAGAAGCAGAATGATTCCTAATTTCGGCAGCAGCTGATTAGGGCCGCTCATCTTCTACACCAACCAGATCAAAAGATGCTGGCCAGCCTGGGGCTGCCAGCATCAACACTCACCCCTGGTCCAGTTAGATCTCATTGTATTCTGAGGCTGAATAGTACTAAACACGGTGGCCTGGGTTGGAACCTCCACCAGGACTGTGGCTCAGCAGCTCCCACTAAAAGATTTTAAGAACAGGTAAGACTCAATTTGCCAAATGCCATTAAGAAATAAGGATGGTAAGCGAGGCATGGTGGCTCACACCTGTAATCCCAGCACTTTGGGAGGCTGAGGTGGGCGGATCACCTGAGGTCAGAACTTCGAGACCAGCCTGGCTAACAGGGCAAGACCCTGTCTCTACTAAAAATACAAAAAATAGCCAGGCATGGTGGCACATGCCTGTAATCCCAGCTACTCGGGAGGCTGAGGCAGGAGACTCGCTTGAACCCAAAAGGTGGAGGTTGCAGTGAGCCAACATAACGCCGCTGCACTCCAGACTGGGTGACAGAGTGAGATTCTGTCTCCAAAAAATTAATTAATTTTAAAATTAATTAAAAAAAGAAATAAGGATGGTCAACCCCCATTGTCCTACAGTTTACTATTTTTTTCGACCTTAACAACCTTATGATCTAGAACTAGGTATTTTGCAATATGATAACCTTTTGCAATATGATGCTGATTCCAGACTATGAGATTATGATCAGACTATTGCTGGGGAAATCACTCCCACATTTGGTCGGCTCTTGTCCCTTAGGTCATTTGTTTAGCTTACTGTCTTCAAAGCCTGAGTTAGTATGAAAAAAAAAATGCCTGAATAATCCACACCAGCTTGATTTAAGTTTCTGGGGAATATTTAACTCTCTTTGAATTACGAAGTCGAGTAACACTGATGTTATTTTCCTAGCATGGCCTTGGCCTAGACCTGAGGGTGTCAAAGTGGGAAAGCTTTAAGAAGAGCGTTTCCCGGCTGCCATTTGATGCGCAATTCTCATTATCCTTTAGAAAATTCATTCCTCAGACTGCCAAGAGGCTGCTGGCAGATGTAGTTTATATTAAACAGATGGTTAGTCTGCAATTAAATGCTTATCCGTGGCTGGGCCCAGTGCATTCTGAATCCTGCGAGAGGACATGCCAGTAGCTGATGAGGGTGGCCCACTTCCAGGATGTGGGTCAGAGAAGAGAAAGTGTTATGTGTGCTTTCACATGAGATCGTCAGAGAGGTGAATAGAATCTGACCTATAGATTGTTAACAAACCCAACGGAAAGGAGGGCTGAATTACTCAAACACTGGTGGATTGAGAAATGGGGAAGTTCTTTGCACAGCTTACCAGGAAAGATAAACACCCACGGTGTAAATTCAAGTTTATACACAGAACGCACACTTTGAAATGCAGTAATACCATGTCTACGCACACATACTAATAGGACAGAACAAATTTTTAAAAGTAAATTTAGAAGAGCAGGGGTGTGGGTTTCTTTCCACTTATAAGCAACAGACAGCTCGTATGAACAACTAAATATTTTCTTTTTTCAGATGAAAGTTTAGGAACATTTAGAAACAGCTTCTGATTTAGAGCAATCCACATGTAGCACAGACTTACCTTTTGTTTCTATGTTAGCTAAGCCACTGTGAAGAACAGAGACCCTCTCAGTTTACATTTATAAGAAGACATGAGAAAAATCTAGGGCATGTGACTTAGCTCCAGTCCCCTGATAAATTATAGCATAATGGCTGTTCCTTCCCCAGCATCTAGAAATTAGGGTGCAAGTCTGCAGGTAGAACATATAAATATTGAATGCAAAAGCAGCTACGTTTGCACTTAAGAGTCCTGAAAGTGACATATTGCCAATTAAATATGTTCCCACATGTCTAAAATTAGAAATCAGAGATGGAAGCAGATATCAGATCTATTCAAAGTGATACGATTAGACTTCAGAGATCCATCTACAAGTTGACTTTCAACTGGGCCAAATGAGCCTCTGTTTCCCTCTAATGGCCAGCAGGACAACTGTGAGCAGGCCTTCATGGGCTTGCCTCCACAAGGCCGATCCCCTGGCTAGAGACTGCCTGCCTCCTGCCTGTCCATTGATCTGTAGACAGCAGCCTGGGTGACCTGGAGCAGCCCTTTTCCTGGAAAACATGCCTCATTGCCTGTCCTTCATTGCATCTCTTTCTCAATAAGTTGGACTATATTAAGCTGCCACTAAAATGTTTGCATCTAAGGAAAAGCAGAATTGATTTGGAACTAAATTTTATTATTAGTGATATTTGTTCTAACCCTTTTCCTCAGTAGAGTGAACAAAGGCCTTGGAGACAAAAACTCAGTGAAGTTTGGAATATTATCTGTTTGGAAGGGAAAGGCAACACAGAGGCTGATAGCCCCAGCTATTAGACAAGGTGCTTGACCAGTGAAAACCAAAGAGGGGAGGATCTCCAAGCTAACTGCAGCTTGTTACTCTCTTGTTCACCTTTCTCTCCTGTTTACACCAAATCAAAATGTCAAATTGAAGTCATGAACTGCATAGTCTGTCTGTTTCTTAAATCTTCCTCGGGAAAAGGAACCAAGTAATTTGGAAAAGACTGAAAACACACACTCGTGCTCTTCCTCACGTTCATGCTAAAGTGGAATTCATAGAGATTGCTTCCCAGTGAGGCTATGAACAAATGGGTAGCCTGAGTAGAGCATATGTGTTCCTGAGTAGAGCACATGTTTCTCAGTCCAGGATTCTGGAATGGTGCTAAAAAAAAAGGAGCTAGGAGGTAAGCAACACAAGGAGGTCGAAATGCTGTGAGAAGAGCCACGCCCTGGAAATATCCCTGGAACAGAAGGACCCTAATATTGCCCAAAGTCCAGGGACTCTAAATGCAAAGCAAACTTGCCAAAGCACAGTGCCCTTTGAGGACTTCAACTGCAAAGGTAAACTGAGCCTTGGCAGGTCAGTCACATTTAGGGCAGACTATTTATGTGCAGCTATTTCTGTAATTGGAGCAGATCAAACGTGGGTATTCTAGCTCAATTCCCCTCTTCTCAGGCATACATAACCATCACATGTATTTATTTATTTTGCATGATGTGTGCGTGTGTGTGTGTGTGTGTGTGTGTGTGTGTGTGCATGCACGTGCCTATGTTGGTGGGGATACATGTATGGACAGAGAAGCCAATCTGATTTTTCTTGATAGCATTTGAGCACATGTTCTTCAGGGTCCACTCATTAATTCCTAAACTCTTTGGACTGGCATTTGGATCATTCCATAAGAATTCTCTCTGGAGACAGATTAAAATAGATATGTCCAGGTCCCACCTGAAGGTTCAGAGTCAGTAGAGTTAGGGCTCATATGGGGAATCTGTATTTTTAAGATCTCCCCAGGTTACACTGATGCTAGATTTGGAAAACATTGATTATACAACAAAGAATCTGACAAGTGAAAAATACACAGAAGTTATTTGGAAATATTTATTTTACTGTTTCCCCAAAACTGTGATTGTTGAAGTCTAATCTATTTGGCCAAACTTATCTAAATAGAGACTTTATCTCATAAATATAGCTGTGTGCAGTAAAAAACTGATATTACATAACCAGTAGGGTCATATTTTAATATTTAGATGATCAAAAATTTCTTACTTCAGAGCTTTTCTCTTAGTTATGATATTCTTCTCCAGTCCTGTGTTTCTAAAGTGGCTTAGATATTTATTGTAAGCCATTGTAAAGATTCTTGACCAACTGTATACTACAATTGATGATCATTTTACATAAGCAGAGACAATGCTAAATAGATGAATCTCTATCCAGCACTTACTCTACCAACTGGTGTTTTATTTTTACTAAGCATGTACTTATTACTTATAAGTTCTTTCTATTTGTCTCTCCTCCCAGTGGCCTTTCAAAGTACTTTAAATATCTTGGAATATTTTTAAAAATCCATCTAGAGAATTGCTTTCAAGGCAAGCTGGATATTAAAAAGTGTTTTTAAACCCATCACACCCATTCCATAGACATTTATGTATATAATATCTTAATTATAGAACCAATCATTATCATGGAAGTCTTCAGAGAACCATGAAAATAAAGAAAATGAATTTCTAAACAGTAAGACTCTGTCAAAACAAATTGCACAGAAAATAAATTCATGGGAAAGCAGATGATGGCAAATAGTGAGTTTAGGTAATGTAGCAGCCTGCAGTTATGCAAACATTTTAGAATGAATTGTGATCTCTCTCAGAGATATTTTGCCAAATAATTCATAACTGAGTAATGCACCTGCTTAGTCCCTCTCTTGCTTCATAACTAGATAGTTTCCAGTCGTTATTTTTTCTCCTCAATCTATCATTCTTCAAGTAGGTCTCTGCATTGGAGTATGTGTGTGTGAGAGACAGAGATAAAGTAATGAGGAAAGAAAAGCCTTAGATTTGGCATTAGGAAGCCCAAAAGAGAAAAATATTATTTGTAATATGAAAGCCAGGTAGCATGGTCCATAGTATTACAGTTAATTTGGAAATTTTTCTTATTATTATTTAATAGTTTCTCTTGGTTACATATAATACTAATTTTTGGTAAATTCCAACATCCAAATACTGAAGGTTGTAAAAAATTATTATTATTTAAAGCCATTGATCAGCCCTTATGCTGAAAATAGTTCATGAGCCAAATATTAGAAACAAAATGAGATGATGTTGTTGGTCATTATACTGGTACTGATCACAAAGAAAGAAAAAGATCACCCAATTGCTAATAACTGTTGTCTTTGAAAGACACACAGCTCTAGCACAAAAGCAGGAGGGAGCAGAGTTGTGAGGTTGGGAGGAGGAGATGAGTGCAATAAGGAAGAAAACTGAAGAGAGAGAGAAAGAAAAAAAAGGTGGTCCTTAGAAAACCAAAGTGGTAAAGAATAGAAAAGAGTCGGCTGACCACAGATCCTTTGACAATGATGGGATGAGAAGTGCAGGACACAGGGAAAGTTCTACACTGAAAGGCAAGCCAGCACTTGGGAGCAACTTCATGCTGTGTCAAAAATACGGTTTGAATCAGGAATGGGATTGAGAAAGGCAATACCTAAAAGTGGGATTTATGGTGGTGCACGGGAGGTAAAATTTCTCCTCTATCCCCTTAGGACCTCCAGCTGGGCCTAAGAATTAAACTGACATTAGACAGATTAACAGGAGAAAAGCATACAAATTGTATCTAGGAATTTTTACATGTACATAGGAGCCTTTACAAAAGAAATGAAAACCCAAAGACAGCAGTTAGGGTTGAACGATTATATGCTAGGTTAGACAAAGAGTAGTAAATGGTGAAAATATGAAATAACAAAAGAGTTTGGGGAGAGAAGTTAATTGTGGAAAAGGGACTAAAAACATAAAGGTTAGTTTGATTTGTTTCTACAGATTCCTCTTGATCTTGATTCCCCATCTCTGGTGATAAGAATGTCTTTCTTCCTCCTGGCACAGGGAGGGAACTTTTCACATGGGGCTTTTAGTTCCTGCTTTCAGGAAAAATAAGGAAGGTTAGGGTGACCTTGAATCTGCTGTTTTCAAGAGTCTTTCACTCAAAGTAATCAATATTTTGAGATAGCAAATATCAACAATCAATATGGCAAAGTGGTATATTTCTGGGTAGCATATTTTGATCTCTTATAATAGATGTATAATTCAATGAAAGGTCTTATTTCTGTATTAAATTTTAATACAGTACAATAACTAAAACGAGATAATTAAATATATTAGTATGGTCATTGTTTAAAACAATGCAATTGATAGAATGTAGCTTTACAAAAATGGCAGAGACCTTAATATTTTCTGGGAGTTAGAAAATTCTCCTGCTACTTTGACAGCCATGCCTTTGATATGTGGACCCATGAAATCCATGGACTTTTTCTGGAAAATACTCTTATATGACAGTATACGTGCCATAGATATAGTCCCTGAGATTTCTGGGGACTATACTAACATATTTAACTTGTTTTGAGTTATCGTACTGTATTAAAATGTAATACAGAAGTAACTCCTTTCATTGAATTATCAGGCATTCTTGAAGGACTAAATTGGAAGTTAATCTCCTGAGCCAATGAGATCTCAGATTATCTGAGGACAGCTCACCGGGATAGGCTGATGTTTTAGGAAGGTTATCTGTTAGTCATTCAGTTGTTGGGGGTTTTAGTCTAAATTTTAGAATTTGGCAAACTCTCTACCTCAAAAATATGTAAGTTTTCTTTTCATTTTTTCTTATTTCTCCCTCCTCCTCCTCCTCCTCCTCCTCCTTCAATCATCTATCATCTGTTATTTAAACTAGGGGAGAGTTGCTGTTTTTCACAAAAGTTACTTCAATAGGATTACTATATGTACAAGCAGATACTGGTTCCAGTTTACAATATCTCCTGGTTGTTAATGTCTTGATTTAACCCACCCTATCTCATCCTTGAAATCTAGTTATTGATGAATCTTTGTTCCCCAATCACCACCACACAACCAAGACAATGAGTTGATAGCCAGAGCTCTGTTGGAAAAGTGGCATGTAAATCTTTAAGGGTAGAGCAGTTATTTCTGCAGAATTGGAATGCTGTTACAGAAAAGAAAAGAATCATTCTCCTAGCTGTCTCAGGCAAAAAATCAGTGGTGAAAAAAAACTATATATTGACTTTGTATGGGAGAAAATACAAAAATTAGATGCTGTCATTTGCAATGTCAATTGGCTTCACAAAAGGTCATGGAGGTGGCTGGGCACGGTGGCTCATGCCTGCAATCCCAGCACTTTGGGAGGCTGAGGCAGATGGATTGCTTGAGGCCAAGAGTTCGAGACTAAACTGGGCAACATGGTGAAACCCTCTCTGTACTAAAGTTACAAAAATTAGCCATGCATGGTTGCACATGCCTGTAATCCAAGCTACTCAGGAGGCTGAGGCAGGAGAATTGCTTGAACCCAGGAGATGGAGTTTGCAGTGAGCCGAGATTGTGCCACTCCACTCCAGCCTGCCTGACAGGGCAAGACTCTGTCTCAAAAAAAAAAAAAGGTAATGGAGGCAAGGAATGAAGATTATCAAAGAATAAAGATAAAACAAAATATATCTACATCTTAAGACATTTTCTCATTATCTCCTTGGATGGCAACCTAAGACTATTACCCTGGTTCCGGTTGCTGAGTAGACATGTCTTCTCAGGTAGTTTGCGTGACAGATGCCATGTTTTCTGTGGTTTGTACACTGCTGCGTGCTTAATAAGTATCGTGTGGACAACCTCAAGGGTCTCCTTGAAAAGCCTTTTAAAATGGATCAAATAGCATACATAATGCTGTTATGGGATCTTTGGGGTGTCGCTTTTCTGGCCAGAAACCTGTGGCTAGTGGTGCCTTTGCCCAAGTTTTGCTTGGGCCCACTGGGTTTGTTCCACCCACTCGACCTGGCAGCCTATGTTCAGCTCACACTACTGGCCTGGATCCCACGCCTCCAAGGGAGACTGCAAGTCAGGTGTGGAGCAGTGGGGGGTGGGGGGGGTGGGTGTGAATGATTGTAGGGTCTGGCCACCGCACAGTCAGACACGCCAGCTGCTGCCTCCGGGAAGGCAGCTCCAGGTGCTGGCATGGTAGCTGGCTCTCTGTGAGGCTGCAGCTGGACTAAGCACACCACAAGCAGCTTCCACAGCTGGCACCAGGGAATTTGATGGTCCCTGGAAGTTTGGGACACCAGGAACCACAGGACCCTAAAGAGGAAGTCATAACCCTGGCTTGGGGAGCTCCCAGGTCTGGGCTCCCCAAAGGGCCACAGCTCTTCTCTCCTTCTCTTCACCCACAACGTGGTGAGCAAGCGGCATGTCTCAACCCTGTTTGTGTTACAGATCTTTTAGCCTCACCATTTGGTGGGTCCTGAGTTCTTGTCCTGTGATCAGGAAGAATGAGGTGCACACACAAGTGAAGGGTGAGCCAGACGAAAAGGAGCTTTATTGAGCCATAGAAAAGCTCAGTCTTCCATAGGGGGCAGCTCCTTTCCACCACTAAGGTGTCCCAATGAGTGTTCAACTCCTAGCAGAGAGGGTAGCTCCTCTCTGCAGCTGGTAATCCCATCTTCTGTGCAGCACTCAGCAGAGAGGAGGCCCTAGAGTGGGTGCCTCCTCTCTGCAGCTGGTCCTCCCGAGGTCATCTCAGCTCTGGCTGAGCCTGGATTTTACGGGCTTTTGTGGGCCTAAGAGGGGAGGAAGAGCATGCTGATTGGTCCATGGGTGGCGATGAGCAGGCCCAGAAAAGGCACCACAAGTTCCCACTCCAGTCTGCATGACTGGCAGCCCAGCCTCCAGCCTTCAGACCCTCCCTGGCCTGAAGCCGGGTTCTCACTGGGAACCCGCCCACTTCTGCCCAGGAACCTGTCTGCCTCCTGCTGCCCTTCATGGCCCCCAAGCTGTAGGTGCAAAGGGGTGCCTGCAGGCCACTGCCAAGCTGCCCTCAGGCCCCCTTGGCTTTCCTCCCATGCTCCTCAGTGCCCAAAGTCTGGAGGGGGCCAAGGCGGCAGGAGGCTGACATGTCAGCACTGCCTTGAGGATGTGCACACCCAGCCAGGCTGTGACAGTGCCCAGGCTCAGCCTTGACTTTGCTCTGAGATCAGAGCAGTTGCTGACAGCAGGGAGAAGCCAGGCAGTGGGAGCAGGCACTTCCGAGCCTGCAAGGGCAGGGGGTGCCTTCCCAAGCCCCTAAGAGTGCAGAGATGCCTGAATCTGCAGCCATGGTTTAGGTGCTGCAGCTGTGCAGCGGTGGTGGGGAGAGGGCTGCTGCCTACCCTGGGGAGCAGGAGGTCCCTGTCTGCAGCAGTGGTTTGGGTGGCTATAGCTGTACCCAGGAGGGTGGGGCTCCTGCCTACTCCTGGCCCAGAGACCACAGGGATGCTGGGGTCTGCAGCCATGGCTTGGGCAGCTGGAGTGGCACCTGGGGAACTGCCACCCCAACTTAGAAGGGGCAGGGCATGTAGCCCAGCTGTGCCTCTCTGTTGCAGCCAGTGCCTCCCTGTTGCAGCCAGCACAATGGCAGCAGCCACTCCAGATGGCCCCCCATTGACATCAATACAGAATCATAACTGTTCACGTGATATACAATAGGTGTGGAAAAGGTGGTTGCAGAGAAATTCATGAAGTATCCAAATATACACAAATTATTGGTTTGCCACCATATTATCTTGGTCAAGCCACATGTATTAATAAAACAACAATGACAACAATAACAATAATATTGTAGATAAAATGAATTGAGCAGTCACGATGTGCCAGGCAGAGTGCTAACTGCTTTACATTTAATCCTTACAACAACCACAGAGGCAGGTACTTATTATTATGCGAATTTGACAAATAGGGAAATTGAGGCTTGGAGAGAACTTAGTAATGGGGTCCCTCAATAATAAGGGATGCAGCAAGTTGAACCCTGCACTGGTGGACTCCCAGGATCAGGGACTTAGCCATCGGACTCTACAGCATTTATGCAACAGCACGTACTGGATAGTTTGCCAGGGTGTTTAAGATGGGTTTTAAAATGAAAAATATCATAAAAGAGCACAACATATGTCAGGCAATTAAAAATAGCTCCTCTGGACTCTCTTCCTTTATATGAATTTCTTCCCCCCCCCATCAATGAAGGTAAGAATTTGCACTGATTATGAAGAAGCATTCCAGGGGAACAATTAGTAAAGTCCACATCAAACAGTTTCAATGATCTCATTTCTTGCATTGTAGCTATCACTCCCCTTCATTTCTGACAATGGGTCTGTATAGTTCAGATGTTCACGTGTTTCCTCATCTGAGTTGCTGCCACTCATACTTGTGACCCCCAACAAATTGTAAAACTACGAATGTGATGAAGATCAATGGTTCAATTTCTTTTAAGTGGGAGAAATTTGATTTTCTCATGAAAGTGTATGTACTGATAGTAATACAAATAGAATATCTCCTAGACTAAGATAAACACTTAGGAGACAAGATTATAGTCTAAATTTTTTTTATATTTACCATCTGTTTATTTAATGGGAATTATTAATATTTCCTCAATAAGAAATATGGAACTAATTCAAGTGAATTGCTCATGTTATGAATGAAGTCTCAGGACTTTAGTCATGGGGTATTTCTTACCATGTTCATTAACTATAACAGAATTCCTTTAAGTGTATGAGGCTAGGAATTTTTCTTACAGGATCAGCTGGCATTACTTCTGCTATATCTTCTGAAGACTCATCAGAGTCATAAAGTAATGAGCTCTTCAAGAAGAAGAAAAGTGTTTACTTGGTCTCTATATCCTTGAATGCATGAATTCATATGCAATTGAATGGATAACTAAATGATGAGTGAATAAAAGAGCAGGAAGCAATGATTCTTCTCTAACCACTGCTAATAAAGAGTCACCTGGCATTTCTTCCCCTGTGGATACTAACTATCTAAATTCTGATTTAGTAGGTCTGGGCTGCAGAACTGTACATTTGAAATCTCCCTAAGTGTTCTGAATTATAGGCAGGCAGAAAACAACTGCATTAATATAACCTAGAAATAAAAAGGCCACTACTGGCAGTTAAAAATACCATACTATTAATTTGTTCATCTATTTTATATTTATGTAAATGTATAATTTATAATTTATATACATACATATAGTATATATTTTATTTGCCTTTCAACCTTATTCTAAAAGGAACATAAAATAATTAACAGAATGTTACATATAATACCAGATTTAAAAAGTAACTTAAAAAGCAAAAGAAATACACAGGTAAAATGATTATCAGTCAGGACTAAGGTTGAAAGATCATGCTGGCTTGGAGGAGTGGAATATAATATAAATCAGACAAACCATGGATCAGAGTTAGTGTTTGTGTATACTGTGAGTTTTCAGCACTGCCTTTTGCAGCTATGTAGGGTAAGGCGAGCTCAGAGTGGATTTTCCTTTGTTTACAGTTTGTTACTGCTTTTCTTTTCCCTCGCCTGTGTTCTTTGAGCCGGCAACACCTCTATAAAGGAGAAAATATTTTTATTGTGCTTCTTTCCAGAAAGTTCTCCCTTGCCCAGCTTAGTCATCTCATTAATATCATTGCTTAAAAAAAAGTAAACTCTACAGCAGCCATTTAAGAATAAAGCTGAGAATGATTAAAGATATTTCTGGTGATACAAAATGGTTTTAACTGTCTGGAGATGTTAATCAGAAAAGGAACAATAATCCCCAAAGAAGATGCATTCACCTGGGCACCCTGAGGCTCCTGAAACTGAAGCTATTCTTACAGCTCAAAGAATGGGGTGTTGTGTGAATGAATGAGAGTAGAGAGGCCTGGGGAGGTTTAGGGAGAAGCAGAGAGCAGAGAATGCAAAGTCTTTTCAAATCTGAATATCCAAACTGAAGGAATCAAATTGTGGGTCACTGGTTCAGCTTTTGTGCGCGACCTTGAACAGACCAACCCGGATTCAGGATGAAATGGGACACTCGTGGGTCTCTCCATGCCAGATTTTCTTTCACTGTTCCCACTCAGCTGCCCTGGAGGCACCAGACAGCTGCCATTTCCAAACACGCCCCTGATCCACTGCTTACTTTGACAGCGGGATGTGGAAAGTGAGAAATCTCTCTGGGCTCCTATTCACTTTAAACTGGTCAAACCAGTAAATAGAAGGTGAATTTGCTACCCCCTATCCCTCCCTGTGATTGAGCGGTTTAACAGAAAACAAATCCTACTGACTCGCAAATATGCAAAGCATGAGGCAGACCAGCAGCTTAGCCCAATTTTACAGGACAGCCAATAGAAAGCAGTAATGAAGACCCTAATGCCCTGAACTTTGGGTCTATGGCCCAGTCAGTACCATGAGGGCAAATGGTAGATGGGATTCCTGTTCTCAACATGTGACCACTGTAAAACTGCTAAGGGTTTCTTCAACTTTTAAGGACCCAGGACACTGAAAGTTCTAAAAATACTACTCTGTGGAAGTACTGGAAAAGAATTTTTTTCTTACGTTTAAAAAAAAAACAGCCAAGAAAATTAGCAAAATGTCAAATACCCAGAAAGAGGTCAATAAACTTCAAAACAATGAGAATATGCAGTGTTCATATTAGGTTTCAGAGGGATTTACCTATGTCCTAGGAAGCAGTGTAGGAAACAGACACGTACTAGACTTGAAATTCATAATTTGTCTTAGCTATCCACTTGTTCTGATCTGGGCAAGTCATTTTACTACTAAGGTTCAATTTTTTCTTCTTTAAGGTAGGGATAGAGTAATCATGAGCACTAAATGTGAAAATGTAGCCTACAACGCCCAGCAAATTTCTGGGCACTCAGCTGTTGTTCAGTTCAGATGAATCTGAAATAGAAATAGATGATATTGGGTTAGAAAGAACCTAGTGGCTACTTGGTACTCACTTCAAGTAATGACATAAGCCACGGCATAAGTCTAGTCTGTTCTTCCAAAACTATAGGCTGCCTTCACAACTCCAGCTCCTTTAGAGGAAGGGAGCAGTCATGGGTTTGATAACGAAGTTATGTTTAACAATAGAAGGGATGGGATGTAGGCAGGTTGATTCTGAAAGTCAGGGCCCTTTACTGCAACGTGCCTTCTGCTCTGTGTACCAATCATCTTACGCTTAAACACACTGAGTTCTGTTAAGAATGGTTAGCAATGAGACACTTTAGCACTCCTAAGCAGTCAGGGCTGCTGTGGTTCACCCTAGTGAGACAATGACTTTTTAGTTGCACAATTAAGCAGTAAAACATTAGTGTAGCAAGCATAGGGTTCAGCATCAAGCACAGTTGAGTCTAATGATGTAAACTTGGTAAAATTGCTTAACTTTGCTAAGTCTTTTTCATCTGTAAGATGAAAATAATAATAGAACCTACTTGTTAGGGTAATAGTGATGATTAAGGAAGATAATAAATATCAGTTTCTTGGCACTGTGCCTGACACATTGTAATCAGTGAAATAACTTTGACAATAATTAACATTATGGAGGTTAAAAGATGTGTCATTAGATGTAATATTAGGTGTGAGTGCAACTAGCAAAAATATGGACTAAATTTTTTCTAAAATTGGCTGCAATGATGTTAGTCTTTGAACAGCAACAGCTGATTGAAATTCAGTATTACTATACAATAAGTGCTGTAATTTTGTCAAACCTTCAAAATTAGCCCAAGATGAGACCAGACTCCAGATATTTCTATATTCTTGAATTTTGCTTGAACTTAAGAACTCATTCATATTTTTATGCCAGACAATGGACAGGAATCTTCTCCCAATGAATAAATCAAAGGATTTAGTAATAGGAAAGAAGTAAAGAAACAACACCAAACAACTGAAAAAAAATGTTTGTTTTAGATTCAGGGAGAACATGTACAGGTTTGTTACCCAGCTATATTACATGATACTGAGGTTTGGGATATGAATGGTCCCACCACCCAGGTATTGAGCATGGTATCCAACAGTTTTTCAACCCTTGCCTGACTCTCTCCCGCCCTCCCCTCCTAGTATCCAGTGTCTATTGTTGCCATCTTTGTGTCCATGAGTACCCAGTGTTTAACTCCCACATATAAGTGAGAATATGCAGCATTTAGTTTTCTGTTCCTGCATTAATTCACTTAGGATAATGGCCTCCAGGTGCATCCATGTTGCTGCAAAGGACATGACTGCATTATTTTAATGGCTGTATAGTATTCCATGGTGTATATGTGCCATATTTTCTTATCCAGTCCAGCACTGCTGGGAATCTAGGTTGATTCCATGTCTTTGCTATGGTGAATTAGTGCTGTGATGAACATACAAGTGCATGTGTCTTTTTGGTAGAATGATTAGTGATATTGAGCATTCTTTCATATGTTTGTTGGTGGCTTGTATATCTTCTTTTGAGAAGTGTCTGTTCATGTCTTTTGCATATTTTTAGTAAGGTTATTTGATTTTGCTTTTTCAATTGTTCAAGGTCCTTGTAGATTCTGAATATTCAATCTTTGTTGGATGCATTCTTTGCAAATATTTTCTCCCATACTGTAGGTTGTCTGTTTACTCTGTAGACAGTTTATTTTGCTATGCAGAGGCTCTTTAATTTAATTAGGTCCAAATTTGTCAATTTTTGTTTTTGTTGCGATTGCTTTTTAGGACTTACTTATAAATTCTTTCCCAAGGCCAATATCCAGAATGGTGTTTCCTAGGTTTTCTTCTAGGATTCTCATAGATGGAGGTCTTACATTTAAATATTTAATCAATCTTTATTTAATTTTTGTATATGAGGAAAAGTAGGGATCCAGTTTCATTCTTCTGCACATGGCTAGCCAGCTATCCCAGCACCATTTACTGAATAGGAAATCCTTTCCCCATTGTTTGTTTTTGTTGACTTTGTCCAAGATTAGCGGCTATAGGTGTGCAACTTTATTGCTGGGTTCTCTATTCTGTTCCATTCGTCTATGTGTCTGTTTTTTGTGTGTTTGTTTGTTTGTTTGCCAGTACCATGCTATTTTGGTTAATGTAATCTTATAGTTAGTTTGAGGTCAGGTAATGTGATGCCTCCATCATTGTTCTTTTTGCTTAGGATTGCTTTGCCTACTCAGACTCTTTACAAAACAACTGAATTGGATTATAATCATCAACAAGTAGAGGCTGTAACATTTTTATATTCTGTTATTTGATGATATCAGTAGAAGTCAAAACAGTATTAGCTGTTAGGTACAAGAATGGGTAACAGCAATCACCTACTACAAAGGTACTTGTGACAACAGTCACAAGTCACAATTAATTACTGTAATTTTGTCAAACTTTCAAAATTAGCCCAAGATGAGACCAGACTGCAGATATTTCTATATTCTTGAATTTTGCTTAAACTTGAGAATTCATTCATATTTTTATGCCAGAAAATGGACAGGAACCTTCTCCCAATGAATAAATCAAAAGATTTAGTAATAGGAAAGAAGTAAAGACACAACACAATGGGGAAAGGATTTCCTATTCAATCAATGGTGCTCGGATAGTTCATTAATTACACTAATCTTGGTGTTATACTCATGGTATTTTGAGGACTACAATGGGAAAAAATGGGTTATTCCTCAAGAGCGGCAACGTCATTGATATTATAAGAGAAAACTGTCTAGTAATGGGTCAGCAAAGTAAAGGCAAAGAATGGCTTGTTTTTATGATTACCAACATCATAAAGTGCTAGAGAGGGGTCTCACTGTAAAATTTGTTCTATAATTGTCCGGAAGCACCAGTGCACAAAGCCTTTAGTGACAAACAGAGTGAATCAGGCCAGTCTTCACAACAAAGCCATTCTAGTGAGGAGGTTTCTGGGGCTCTTTGTGAAGAACTTGAGGGCTGCTGGAGATTTAAACACAACTTGGCATTATGGCGTTCTCTAAAGTCTCTCCCATTGTGCAAAGAATCCTAAGAAATCCTGTCTTTAAAATATTTTTCCTTCAAAGTGGGGAAAAGGCAAGCCAGGAAGGATTTAGACAATTTTTATCACATCAGAGAAGCTGACAACGAAGTGGTCTGACAAATGTTGTTACCTACTCCACTTTCCCTCTCCTAACACATGTGGAAAGAACTTGTTGCTATATTTAACAAAGCTGGCCATCTTGCCTTCTGACTAGTAACCGTGGAATAGCCACAGCCTGACAGCTAATGATAACAAAATGTTCCACTGTGTTCTTTTCCTCTATCAAAAAGAATGGTCCAAGACATTGCTATGCAGTATTTCCCTGTCCTTCACTCACTCCCAAGGTGTCCATCCAGCTCTGGTGAGTCTCTCCCACCTTGAGGGCATTCCCATCAAATTTTGGCAAGGGGAGTGGTAACTGTGGTATTACTACAGCTTGGGATAACTCCCTAGATGAAGAAACCTATGTTAAGACCAAATTTTACTAAAATAATCTATCCAAGTCCCCTCATCATTAGGAAGAATAGGCAATTATTAGCTTAAGTATCATCATATATTGTCATGAGAGCTTCTTTTTTATGAAAATGCTGACAAATGGTAGGCTTCTGCTAGAATATTCATCCAGCACACATGTACTCATGAATTTCAAGCACAGCATTTCTTCCTGACGGGATGTCCTGGCTGTAGTAAACTAAGGAAAACTCAGATATTACATTTGACAGTAAAAGAATATACAGAACTCCAGTTAATTAGAGTTCTGTGAATAGTAACTCCCTGTTTAGAGAGGGAGTTACTAGGCTGTGAATAGTAACTCTCTGTTTAGAGACATTCTTTAGCTATGACTTATATAGGAATAAAATATACATGTTTTCACTCTAATTTTTTTATGCACAGAATAGTGATTTATATAGGAAAAAGAAAAGACTCAGACAGTTGGTTTTCCTCATGGGGATATGTTTCTCAGTGGTAGGAACCAAGGACAAAGTCTTGGTCCTGAAAATGCACAGCTGCTGGCAATCTTCCAGGTTAGCCAGAGACCAGAATGACTGGGAAGGTGCCATTGATAGTGAGCAAAGGAGAAATGGTCATGAAGAGAGTGATGTGCGTTTGGAATCACCACTAGGAGGAAATTAAGAAGAATGAGGGATCCTGCGACCTGGTGGAGGCACATTTCCACACTTTGTGTTTCTTCCCAGGAACCTCTCCAGTTGTTTCTTTCTTCTTTACAAATTGCATAAGACCATGGAAATCTTGTCCCACTCCCTACCTTCTGGAAAAAGAGGCAAGAGCATGTTTTAGAAGGAATTTTCTTCCTTATAGTTGGAAGGATGAAGATGGTGGGACAGTGGGGAAAAGCCATCTCTGTGTTTCTACTGGTTATCACAACAAGACCAAGAATTATCCTGGTATATATACATATATATGTATGTATATATAACATGTATATAGTTATATATACATACATATATATGTATATATAACATGTATATAGTTATATATACATATATGCATACATACATACACCATTATATATGTATATATGTGTATATATAGAAATATGTAGGTATATATGTGTCTATATACACATTTTATGTATGTGCCTATATACACATTTTATGTGTCTATATACACATTTTATATATGTGTCTATATACACATTTTATATATGTATCTATATACACATTTTATATATGTCTATACACATTTTATATATGTGTCTATATACACATTTTATATATGTGTCTATATACACATTTTATATATGTATATATATGTGTGTGTGTGTATGTGCACACACCTATACATACATTATATATGTATCTCCCACTACTTATTTCCTCTCATCATTTAAGTTACCAAAACATATTGTTTCTCTTTCAAATCCACCTTCTCTTTTCCATCTCCAATAACATTTCCTTATTTCATCTGCACATCATATCTCACTTGCATTACTAAAATACTCCCCTAACTGGATTCTCTTTTGTGTCTCACCATTATAGCTTATCTTTCACACAGCTATCAAAATTGACTTTCTAAAACAAAATCTAATCATTCCACTTCTTTACTTAAAAAGTGTTTCCCTGTTGTTCTGGGGCTTCTGATTTTTGTCTAGGATATAGCCTTGGAAATTATGCTAAAATTCAAAAATCTATAGTTAATTCTGATACATAGCTCTACTGAGAACCACTGTATTAAAATTGTCTATGTAAAGAGTTGAAGAATAGACACATTTCTCTGATAATGTGCTCAAAATTCTTATCAGGGAGAAACCAAGAAAATGGAACTATTTTTTGTCCTAGTGTATGTCATGTGATTATAAAAATGCCAAATTAAATAAATTCACCATGAATAACAGAAGCAGTGGTATTCTCTACCTTTTCTCTTTCAGTTTTGTATAAAAATGGGACCAGTGGTATGAAGGATTCCCCAGCACTGTTGAAATCCAGTCTGATGTTGTATCCAAATAGAACCGATTCTCCTGCAGCAATTACATACCCTGCCTGCCAACCAGGTCTGCCAGGTCACTAGAAATCTTACCAGAACTCCTCCTTCATTATTTGCTAAGAATATTGAGGATGGGGGAAAGAGAAAGAATAAAGGAAGGCAAAATGACCGTCTCAGGCAAGTCAGCTCTAGGAAGATTTGTTAAGTAGGAAAAACTTGTCATTATGCCCCTAACCTTTTTAAATTTTAAATTTAGAAATATTCAAATATAAACAAGAGCAAAGAAATTTAAACATGTACCCATTATCCACCTTCAAAATTATCAACATCTGCAATCTTGTTTCATCAATATTCCCCACCACACACACTCTTTTCTCCATATACACTGGATTATTTTGTAGCAAATCTAAGACATGGTTTTATTCACATATAAATATTATACTATGAACTTGTAAAAGACAAGAACTGTTAAAACAGAATAATAGACTTCTTGCATTTTATTACTTCTCTATTGTTCCTGTAACAAATTACCAAAAACTTACTAGCGTAAAGCAACAAAAATGTATCATTTTATAGTTCAGGAGGTCAGAAGTTGGAAATGAGTCTTAAGGATCAAGATCTTATCTGGTCTGGTTCCTTTTCAAGGCTTCACAGGGAAGAATAAATTCCTTGCCTCTTCCTGCAAATGGCATTCCTTGGATGCTGGCTATATCACTCAGCCTCTGCTTCTGTGGCTGTATGGTCTTTTATTCATTGACCTTGTTGGCTCCCTTTTCTAAGAACCCTTGTAATATGGGTTGGCTCTGTGTACCCACCCAAACCTCATCTTGAACTGCAATCCCCACCTGTGGGAGGAGGGGTCTGATGGGAGGTGACTGAATCATGGGAGTAGACTTCCCACTTGCTGTTCTCATGATAGTGACGGAGTTCTCATGAAATCTGGTTGTTTAAAAGTGAGCGGCACCTCCCCCTTTGCGCTCACACGCTCTCTCTCTCTCCTGCCACCATGTAAGACATGCCTTGTGATATGGTTTGGCTCTGTGTCCCCACCCAAATCTCATCTTAAATTGGAATCCCCATAATTGCCACATGTAAAGGGAGGAACCCAGTGGGAGGTGACTGGATCATGAGGATGGTTCCCCCATACTGTTCTCGTGATAGCGAGTGAGTTCTCATGAGAACTGATGGTTTTATAAGGGGTTCTTTCCCCTTTGCTCTTCACTCTTCTCTCTCCTGCCACCTTGTGAAGGTGCCTGTTTCCCCTTCCGCCATGACTGTAAGCTTACTGAGGCCTTCCCAGCCCTGTGGAACTGTGAGTCCATTAAACTTCTTTGCTTTATAAATTACCCAGTCTTGGGTATTTCTTTATAGCAGTGTGAGAACAGACTAATACACTTTGCTTCCCCTTTGACTTCCACCATGATTGTAAGTTTCCAGAGGCCTCCTTAGCCATGTGGAACTGTGAGTCAATTAAACTTCTTTTCTTTATAAATTACCCAGTCTCACGTAGTTTTATATGTCAGTGTGAAAATGGACTAATACACCTTGCAATTACATGTAGGACCTACCTGGATAAGCCAGAGTAATCCTTAACTCAATTATATCTGCCAAATTCCTTCTGCCCATATAAGGTAATACATTTATAGGTACCAAAGACTAGGACATGGGCATCCTTGAGAGGAGGAGGCATTATTCAGCCTACCACAAACTTAACATTTAACAATAGTTCCTTAGTGTCATTAAACATCTAGTCAGAGTTCAGATTCCCCGGATCATCTTGTAGTTTCTTCGGTTTGGTTTGGTTTTCCCCCAATCAAAACCATTCTCTCTGAGAAAGTTCTATTAGGTCCTGGCATCCATTATGCTGTCATATAAATTAGTTTAAGGAATCAGGTGCAGTGCTACAATACAAATTCTGACTTTAGCTTGTTCTGCCCAGAAGCCCCATTCATAGAATCCTAATGGTGCCAGTCATTTCAATCATGTCACCAAGTTGACACTGTTACTGACTAGTTTGGTCTAAATTTGCAGCTGTAACTGTTCTAGAAGGACTTATCCATTGATTTTATAGATTCGGCCTAAGTTTAGGAATTATCTTAGGTCCCAGGATAACTCATGTGTTGCATCTTCAGAGAATCAATGAGTGGGCCCACATTATGAGAAATTCAGGCCACAATGGAATACAGGAAGCAGATATTACTTAATCTCCTTTCTCCTAAAAGTGTGTGTTGTTCCTCTGACCCATTCCCATCCATTTCTCTTCCTTCCTTTACCTCCTAAAATAAAAAGGAGATTAAGTAAGGTAACAGCAGGAAACAATACTTGGTCAGTGCTGACCTCCCTGTCTCTCTAAGTTCTCATGATCAGATGGCTGAACTCAAGGAAGGGATAGAATAGATGACAACTGTGTAAGACAAAAAAAAAGAGTGTTCACAGCCATGTGGGAGCAGGATGAGACGACCAGGACTACAACTACTTCCATTCTGCTGACTTAAGAAAAGGAAAAATTAAGGATAGGAATCTGATTTGAAAAGACAAGCAGAATTTGACAGCCCTGTAATGTATTGGAAGGAATGAATTATGTGTCCTGGATTTGACTGCAAACTCCACCACTAACTAGCTGTGTGACTTGGGGCAAATCTTTAAATGTTCTAGATAGCTGATCATCTTTAAAATGCAGATGTGGGCCGGGGGCAGTGGCTCACACCTGTAATCCCAGCACTTTGGGAGGCCAAGGTGGGTGGATCACCTGAGGTGAAGAGTTTGAAACCAGCCTGGCCAACAGTGCAAAACCCCATCTCTACTAAAAAAATACAAAAATTAGTTAGGCATGGTGGCACATGCCTGTAGTCCCAGCTATTCAGGAGGCTGAGGCAGGAGACTCGCTTGAACCCAGGAGGTGGAGGTTGCAGTGAGACAAGATCGTGCCACTGCACTCCAGCCTGGGTGACAGAGCAAGACTCCATCTCAAACAAACAAACAAAATGCAGATGTGGACTAGTCTCTAAAGCTCCATTCCACTGATTTTTTTTTCCAGTGCTTGTCATTTCTAATGTGAAATACAACATAAAATGCATATTCATCCCTTGATCTCATATATTTCCTAGAAATTTTTTAACTTTATTTTTTTAACTTCTATTTTAGGCTTGGGGGTATATGTGAAGGTTTGTTGCATAACTAAACACATGCCATGAGGGTTTGTTGTGCATATTATTTCATCACCCAGGTACTACACCTAGTACCCAATAGTTATTTTTTTTCTGCTCCTCTCCCTTCTCCCACCTTCCACCCTCAAGTAGACCCCAGTGTCTATTGTTCCCTTGTTTGCATTTTTGAGTTCTTATTATTTAGCTCCCATTTATAAGTGAGAACATGCATTATTTGGCTTTCTGTTCCTGTGTCAGTTTGCTAAGGATAATGGCCTCCAGCTCCATCCATGTTCCTGCAAAAAACATGATCTCATTTTTTATGGCAGCATAGAATTCCATGGTACATATGTACCACATTTTCTTCATCCAATCTGTCACTGATGGGCATTTAGGTTGATTCCACACATTTGCTATTGTGAATAGTGCCGCAATGAACATTCGCATGCATGTATCTTTATCGTAGAGTGATTTATATCCACCTGGGATTAATGGGATTGCTGGGTTGAATGGTAATTCTGCTTTTAGCTTTTTGAGGAATTGCCATACTACAAAGGTTGAAGTAATTGACACTCCCACCAGCAGTGTACAAGTGTTCCTTTTCTCCTCAACCTTGCCAGCATCTGTTATTTTTTGACTTTTTAATAACCATTCCGACTGGTGTGAGATAGTATCTCACTGTGGTTTCGATTTGCATTTCTCTAATGATTAGTGATATTGATGTTTATTAAATAGGCTTATTGGCTGGATTGTATATCTTCTTTTGAGAAGTGTCTGTTCATGTTTTTTGCCCGCTTTTTAATGGGGTTGTTTTTCTCTTTTAAATTTGTTTAAGTTCCTTATAGATTCTGGATATTAGACCTTTGTCAGATGCATAGTTTGCAAATATTTTCTTCCATTTTATAGGTTGTCTGTTTACTCTGTTGATAGTTTCTTTTGCTGTGCAGAAGCTCTTAAGTTTAATTAGATCCCACTTGTCGACTTTTGCTTTTGTCGTGATTGCTTTTGGTGTTTTTGTCATGAAACCTTGCCTGTTCCTATGTCCAGGATGGTACTGCCTAGGTTGTCTTCCAGGGTTTTTGTAGGATTGAGTCTTACATTTAAGTCTTTAATCCACCTTGATTTTTGTGCATGGTGTAAGGAAGAGGTCTAGCTGCAATCTTTTGTGTATGGCTAGCCAGTTATCCCAACACCAAATATTGAATAGGGAGTCTTTTCCAAGTCATTCATTAAATTATATGACTTTGTATAGGACTTCAACAAGGTAGTTGACTCTAGCAAACATGCAGCCTTCCCCAAAAAGATCTACCTCAAAAGCAGGCTGGGAAACACACCGAAATATCTTAAGAGAGGTGTGTTGTTCTTCTGACCCTTCCCCACCACTTTCTTTTCTTTCCTTTACCTCAGATGCTTTAGGCACAACTAGTACATCATTGGTATAAACTAGGGCTGCAAAGACATTGTCAATACACTCATAACAAAAACACAAATTACCAGTACTTGAGAAAATGGAGTACGATGACCCAATAAGAACTCATTCACATTCTCCTATTTGGTAACTGTGAATTTGTTTAAATGAGAGAAGAATAGAAATGGAAACACTCTGTTTAAGGCAATGTCTGTCTTTTATGATCCGAGAGAAACATTAAAAATAGAAATGTTTGTGTTCCTGCCAATCATCTCAACAAAGTGGATTGGCACCATATGAACAAAGGGAAGGGTTGATTGGCATTAGTGGTACTCACTTGGGCAATGCAGGTACAATACAATAAGAACACAGGAATACAATAAGAACTCAGGAAGACAAGTAAACTTCACTGACAGCACCTGAACAATGGGTAGATAGGTTATTAGCTAGGGGGATCAGTAGGAAAGTAAAACTTAATACAATTATTTTAAAATCATTCAGGGCTGACATAAATAGCCTCTCTGCTTTTCATGGTATAGTACGTGCATTGTGCTCTACGTGAAATAAGATCAGATGGTTATTGAAAACATGCGAATCCCTCACAATGTGGTTAGACTAACATATGGTTTCAATAACTAAGTAGTATTTGTTTAACATACAGTGACTTTATTATTAAATGTGGTATGATTATTTAATTTAAATGTCAAATATTGAAACCAGCCCGGCTAAAGATTAACAGCTAATATCTACTTAATGTTAAATATTCAATGAATGCTTTTTAATGTGAAGTCACGAATTAACTATTTCAGTCCTGGAGCTTTTCTTCCAATTTACCTTATTATCTTACAATCCCTATGTGTTAAAAACCTTAGAATCACCAATCCTTAGTATTCCAATGTCCTTACAGAGCTTTCAATTTGTGCCATCTTCCTTGTCTGTATATGAGGAACAGGAGGAGGCCAAGAAGAGTGAGACAACTTATTAGAGATTTTGTTCACAGTTTTCTACTTTCCAGTTTAGCACTTTTCATGATACCATATTGCTTTTCTTATGGAAGGATTACATGAGGATCAGTGGCCTAACATTTCTGAACTAGATTTCTATATGAGGGCAGAGACTATATTTTACTGATGCCTATCCCCAAGACGAGTATGGGGCCAGTACAGATAAATTTTTCCTTCTTTATCTATATTCTCCTGTTTACCCCTCCCTGCCAATATTTCCTCATGGTGGATTCAGCAGCTCTTTGCCAACTCAATGCTCAGGATATGAATTCCATTCTGTGGCTTTAATGCTAAAGAAGAAAATTCTTACATTCAGCCCTCATGTTATCTGCTGGAAGAATGGAACTTAATCCAACTGTCTTGCAGAAGAAGAATGACGGTAAGTCTTGAAAAGTTAAAGTGAGAAGCAAAATCACAGCAGGAGGAGCCATGAGTTATCAACTAATAGCAAGTCAGGATCAAGCAGGAAAGGTTTTATGTATCTAGGCGTGACTGATTTCTGTCAACCAGGCCAAAGGTGGAGGGGCCCACTAAAACTTGAACTGAACCAGATATCTGAAGAATCTGGTAAGTGTTCCATAAATATGAGTCCCCCCCAACTTTCCTCTCTCACTCTTAACCCTCTTTGCTAAATTGGCTGTAGGAATGAGGCTGGCTCAACCATTTTTGGATTGAGTAACCAGAATGGTGACATATCAATGGTTCATTGAGTCATATGAAGAATATATGAAATAACTGGCTGGTTTTTGCCTGAAGAAAAGAATAATTGGTCAAGTATGCCTGTGCATATGTGTGTGTGTGTGTGTGTGTGTGTGTGTGTGTATGCAGGGGCAGGAGGTGGAAAGGGAGCAGAAGAGTTGACAGGAAGTGGGGCATGCTATGTTAAAACTATCTTTACATATTTTCTGTTATGTGGGAGTAGAAACAGGGTATTTCTGTGTAGCTCCAAGTAGATGAATTAGTCCCAACAATAAGAAATACAGGGAAGCTGATTTCTGCTGATGTTAAGAAACATCTTTTCAGCAACCAGAGTTGCCCAGTGGTAGAATGACGGAACCAGCCAAAGTCATGAGCTCCTGGTCTTTGAGAATGTTTGAACAAAATAGACTGAATGGCACAGGGAAGCCCTTCAGTGAAGCGAACTCCGAAGTCTTTTCTGTTTAACTCAGCATTCTGTAGAACTGCCATAAGAGACTTACATTCATTTTTCATGAAGTAATTTTTCACTGCAAATTCCTCAGATGTAATTCTCTTTGGGAAAGAGAGGTAAAGCGCAGAAGTACTTAAGAGAGACAGAAAAAAGAAAGAGAAGGAAATCCTGAGAGTGACTGGCCCAGAACAAGCAGGTGAAGAGTAGACCTTAGTTACTATAGTGGATGAACATGTCACAGTTCTTACATTGATATGAGAGAATAAGGAAGAGCTAGGACAAAGTTCATTCAATCAGGGCATAAACTGAACTGAAGGTAGGAATGTTAGTTGAGGTATGCTTGCACCTTGGAGATCTTATTTAACTTGAACCAAACTGCAACTGCCCACAGCTCTTCCCCTGATCTCTAGGCATTGGCTCGTTCCTCATGCTTCTTTCTGCTCCATGCATGAACATCTTTGTATGCATCATTTCAGGCACGAAGATTAGACTCTTCTCTGGTTTTTACCAAAAATCCACCTTATCTAACCTTTCATGAGTTTAATAACTTTACTAAAGATTTCAATTGTCTGGGCATATTACAATAGACCTGTCACCAATGGCAGGCTGCAAATGGGAGCCAGATAATAAAAGCCTCATATCTATAGTGTTTGGAGACTTGAGACTCATCTCCAGAATTCTCTCCATAGCCCTAGCATAACTGTCAGAAGTTCTGGGTAGGTGATGATTGAGTGTCTCAGTCCACCCTATCTCTAAGAATACTGACACCTAATTTCACTATGAGGACAAGATTTGTACTTTGAATATATAGAAAAGTAAGGTCTGTATGCTCAAAGTTGCATATCATATTGTAAAGAAAAGTTGAGGAAATTAGGAATATGAATAAAAATAACAGTTTATTCTTATTGTGTATTTACTATGTTGTAGGGAGTGTTCCCCGTGTTTACATGCACTCTTCTGGCTCCAAATCCAAATACCTCACCACTACATTACCTATGCAACACGAAGAACATGTTCAAGTAGTTGACAGGTTGACTTACAAAATGGGGGTCAGGCTTGATCTGATCCCTGGTGATATTTTCTGGATACATCTTGTGAGCTTCAGGTAAACAACTTTTGCCACTCCATGAAGATTTTTCTAACAGAGAAAAAAGGTGGAATAGATGACTGAAGGCCAGAGTGAGGTCTCCATCTCAGTACTAGGAGTATTGGGAAGAGAGATGATTACTTTGTCAAACCAGGCCACACTTCTACACTATTGGCAATGATCCTAAGACTACCATGGGAATCACGGAATTTTCACTTATTCCGGAAAATTTAGGAGATGTTTCTTATCAGATTGTCAGAAAATAAACTATAGGTTGGAGATTTTTAATACATCTCTTCTCCATATTTGTGGTTACATATGCCATCAGATTTAGTCAGAGGGTCCCTACCTTCTTCTGCCAGTTGCAACCTATGTGGTAACTGCTAAAGACCTTGGTTCAAATGCAAAACCTCAGACTGACAAGTCTCATTGATGAGGAGGTATGTTTCCTCTACATTGGATGTCAATGTAATTTTATTTCTAATATGCTATGATAGCAGGAGGCAGTTAAATAAAAACCAGACCTGCTGCCTCCTCATCAAGGAAGCACCTCACGCTGAGAGTGAAGGTCCCTTCATGTCTGCTACCTTTATATACATCTTCTCCTGGGCTTAGGGCTCAAGATCAAATCTCTAAATTTGGTAAAATGGAGAATTTTCTTGACTGGCTGGTATCTAACTATTCCATGTCAAGCAGTGATTTCAAGATCAAGGCATTCTGTGTCTATTGTCTGCATGTCCACCACCACCATCCCCAAGCATAGGAAAGAATTACTCATACCTCCCCTTCCTTCAGCACATAAAGCACATCATTTCTTATCCTCTTACCACAAAAGAAAAAAAATGCTCTTCCTACCACCAAGACTGTCTTACAATGGATCATTTAAACAGCACATGCCCTAATCTCTTTCCACTTTATATCAGCTGCCTGCTCTGATTTCTAAGACCATAAGCTCTTGAGATGGAACTGAGGTGATTACTACTTTTTAAGGGTCAAATTAACATATAATATCCTTGTAGGAATAACTTAAATTACAGACTACAAACATTCAACATCCCATCCCGAATCCAAACCAAAGATCCAGAAGGCAATTTTGCCCACCAGGCTCACTGTGCCCACTTCACATGCCCACACATGCTACCAATTAAATAAATGGTACCATGAAAAAAAGTGACTTGGTGCAGGATTTTTTCTATTCCTGTCATAAGGCTCCACTATTGTGGTCAGTTTTGAGTCACACAAGTTTTAGTGCCTTGGAAAACTGTTTTGTAACAAGGAAACCAAGTATAGAATTCTGAGATTGATCCAAAAATTAATATTTCAGAAATAGTTGAAGAAATTGGCAATTAATTTTTTGGAGACCAGAAGTTTTGATGGAGTCAGGACAACTATAGCTAAAAAGTTATTTGCTGTGACTCTGCAGAGCATGATTAAATCAATGGATAGAAGTTCCAGGTGAACTGAAGATCAATTTTGACTTGATATGAATACTTAAAAACAACATTATAACAATTAGAGATGTCCAAAGATGCAATCAACTGTCAAAGAAAATAAAGCATTCCATGTCCCTGCAGGTACAGTTTTCAAGCAGAGAAAGGGTAGTTACATGCTGAGTATTTTGAAGATGAAATGTACATATCAGATAATAATTTGACTAGGTACTCAAGAAGGCTCCATCTACCTATGATTCTATGTCTGAAGAATTTCATAAGATTTACTGTTATAGTCCAAACAGACTGTGAAGATAGAACACCTGGCAACTGACAATATTAGAACTGAAAATGAAGAAAAGAATAGAGGAATTCATAATTGTCTTCTGTAATTTTAATCAGTCAGTCTTCTGTAGAGGCCCTACAGCTTCCAAATCTTAGTCAATCAATCCATTTAGATGCACTGAGTGCCCACTCTATCAGCCCATTCTCACACTGCTATAAAGATATTACCCGGCCAAACTTGGTGGCCCATGCCTGTAATCCCAGCTCTTTGGGAGGCCAGTGCGGGCGGATCACAAGGTCAGGAGTTTGAGACCTGTCTGGCCAACATAGTGAAATCCCGTCTCTACTAAAAATACAAAAAATTAGCGGGGTGTGGTGGTATGCACCTGTAATCCCAGCTGCTCAGGAGGCTGAAGCAGGAGAATGGCATGAACCTGGGAGGTGGAGGTTGAAGTGAGCCAAGATTGTGCCATTGCACTCTCCAGCCCAGGTGATAGTGTGAGACTCTGTCTCAAAAAAAAAAAAATATGTATATATATGTATCAACAAAAGAGGTTTAATTTACTCACAGTTCCACATGGCTGGGGAGGCATCAGGAAACTTACAATCACGCAGAAGTTGTAGGGAAAGCAAGGCACATCTTACCAGGTGGCAGGATAGAGAGAGCCCATGACGGGGGAACTGCCAAACACTTTTAAACGATCTGATCTCATGAGAATTCTCTCACTATCATAAGAACAGCATGGGAGAAATTGCCTCCATGATCCAGTGACATTGCACCAGGTCCCTCCCTCAACATCTGGGGATTACAATTTGAGGTAAGTTTTGGGTGGGGACACAGAGCCAAACCATTACCCATTATGTGCCAAGTACTATGTTATCTGTGAAATATAATATATAGTGAGGAGTGTGACCTACAGTCCTCCAGTACTTATTCTCAAAATGTTTCAAAATTAGTAGTTAGGAAGATATGTAGGTATTAAACATACATAAAATATGCACAAATAGCAATCTAATTTATTTAGGGGTTAATTGGCTGGACTGTGTCCCCACCCCAATCTCATCTCAAATTGTTATCAGAATTGTAGCCCCCATGTATTGGGGGAGGGACCTGGTGGGAGGTGATTAGATTATGAGAGCAGTTTCCCCCATGCTGTTTTCGTGACAGTGAGTGAGTTCTAACGAGATTTGATGGTTTTATAAGTGGCAGTTTCTCATCTCCATCCTGCTGCCTTGTAAAGAAGGTGTCGGCTTCCCCTTCGCCTTCTGCCATGATTGTATGTTTCCTGAAGCTTCCCCAGCCATGTGGAACTGTGAGTCAATTAAACCTCTTTCCTTCACAAATTACCCAGTCTCAGAGAAGTTCTTTATAGCGTGTGAAAATGGACTAACACAAGAGTTAAGGAATATTTCTCTGGGGAAATGACATTTCAGCTGAAACTTGTAGGATAATTAGTACTTCCATAGGGAAAGTCTAAAGGAAGGCTATTCCAGGTAGCAGGGAACAATACATCTGAAGGCCCTGAATCAAAAATAGCTTAGATGTTTGAGAAACAGACAGCAAGTCCTTAAGGCTAGTGCAGTGAAAGAAAATGTTAGAACAGTATGAAGTTGGAGAAATGAGTGAGGGTCAGATCATGCAGGTCATGTAGGCCATGTTAAGGATTCTAAATTTCTATTCTAAATGCAATGGTAAACCACTGAAGGGTTTTACTGGAATGCATCACAGTTTGATATATATATTTTTAAGAATCTCTCTGATGGTTGAATGGAGAAATTACTGGACACAGGGCAAATAGATACAAGGTCTCCAGTTAGCTGGTTATTGCAGAAATCTACATGAGACATGATGGTGGCTTGGACTGAGATAGTGGCAGTGAAAATGGCAGATTCAAAAATCTATTTCAGAGCAGAAATGATATGATCTATTAATGGCTTGTGTGAGGGGTCAAAATGATGACTACTGGGCTTCTTCAAGAGCAACTGGGTCAATAAAGGTACGACTTATTGAAATGGGGAAAGAACATCAAGTGAGCAGTTTGGGGAAGAATAAGTGCTCTGTTTTAGATGTATTTGTTTTAGGATATGCAAGTGGGGATGGCAAGGAGGTTATAACACAAAGAAAAAAGTAAAGGAAAAGATTCAGGAGTATCAACATGGAGAAGTTATTTATTTAAAGCCACACTGGTGGATGAATTCACATAGGAAGAGCATGTAGAAGGATTAAGCCCCAGGCTACTCTGACATTTAGAGAACAGAGGTGAAAGAGACAGAGAAGAAGCCTGAGAAGGAAGGGTCAGAGGGAAAGGAAGAAAGCAGAGGATTTGGTGTCTTAGAAGCCAGTGGGTAGGATGGCTTTAAAAGGATCAAGAGGTCCCTGTTTATGTTAGACAGCTCATGTCATTTGTTCAAACATCAAAGAAGATGAAGATTTTGTGACAGTAAGGGTTTTTTTCCCCCAAGATGGCATATTAGAGGCTTTCAGCGTGACTCAGCCACTTGGAAATAGCAAGATAGTACAAAAAGATAAACTCTGTGAGCTTTAATTCAAGAAGGAAAATGGGAGTCCACTGGAATTGGGAAGGACACCGCAGGTCCTGGAAAGGAGAATGCCAGCAAACAGCCCACATGACAGCGTCAGCTGATAAAAGTAAGTGAAACCCCAGTACACAAGAGAGGCAGAGAGCCTCCCTCTGTGAATCACCTTCCAATCAGGAATAGGAACAACTCAGGCTCACCTTTCCACTGTCTCCTACCAAGCCCTGCAGCTAACTTGGGAGAGGCTTGAAGACTTTGTGAGGAAAAGACACCAGGAAAAGCTGCAGATATTTTTCAAGACCCAAGATTCAAAGCAGGATGCCATTTTTAATCCAGGTGCATACAAAGTCAGCCATTCCTTGGTGTCCTGGCAGTCTGGCTATGCAAGCATTGTAGTTTCAGGCCAGAAATTGAAGCACCTGCTCTGGAGCAGGGTATGGGACATCCACAGCTACAACTGTGGGAAATGCCTCGGAAGTAGACCCTGGAAATATGCTATCCCCCATCCCAAGCCTGGGGCAGGAGTAGAGATACTACAGCTGCAGTTTCTCCTGGGTGGCAACACTTGCAGCAAAGTCCAGCTTGGCAAGCAGGAACTGATCTGCATGTGCCACTGCTGGTGTACGTACCCTGCTTTCCTGAGATTGGGGTACAAAGTGGTGTCCTCTCTTCTCCATCCCCAGAGAAAATAGCAGGTATTCAGAGCACCTGCTTGCCTGGACCAGCAGCCTGAGCTACCCCACCTTTCCTGGACATAGATTGTGGCGCAGTCAGGTTCTCTCTGCTCCACACCTAGCAGATCTGCAGGCATTCAGAGTACTCATTCACCTGCTTCAACAGCCTGAGTCACCCCACCATTTAAGTACATAGATTGTGGTGTAGCAAGGCTATCTCTGCTCCATGACCAAGCAGATCTCCAGACATTTGGAGCACCCATTTTCCTAGTTCAGCAGCTTGAGCTGCTCCACCCTTCCTCAAAATAGATTATGGTGCAGTGGGTCTCTCCCTGCTTCACATGCAGGCAAAAATGCAGGTATCTGGAGCACCCATTTGCCTGGTCCAGCAGCCTGAGCCACCCAACCCTTCCTGGACATAGATTGTAGTATGGGGTGCAGGGGTCCTCTCTGACACTTGTCTAGGCAGGTCTCCAGGCATTCAGAGCACCTACTTGTATAGTCTACCAACCTGAATAGCCCTACCTCTCTTGTGCAGAGACCTTGTGTGGTGAGTCTCTCTTTACTGCATGCCCAAACAGATTTCAAGGCATTCAGAGCACCAGCTTGCCTGAGTCACCATACCCCTCCTGTGCAGATAGCTTGGTGCAGAAGAGCCCTCTCTGCCTCCCACCCAGGCAGATCTTCAGGCATTCAGAGGAACTGTTCACTTGGTTCAACCGTCTGAGTTATCCTACCATTCCTGTGCAGAGATCCTGATGCATGGGCTGGGGAGGCGGGGGGCCCTCTCCACTCCATGCTCAGGCAGATGTCCTGTCACTCAGAGCAACTGCTTTCCTGGTTCAGCAGTCTGAGTCACCCCACTCCTCCTGTGCAAAGATCTTGGTGTTGGGGGACCCTCTCTGCTTCATGCTTAGGCAGATCTCCAGGTAACTGGAGCACCCACCCTCCTGGATTAGAAGTTTAGGCCATTCCCCACCCAGGGGTGCAGAGAACTTGGGGCCAAGGAGGTTTCCCAGCTCCATGTGTAGGCACATCTCTAGGTGCTTCATGGCTGCCCACTGGATTCTCCCTCAGTGCTGGTGCTTGTGCCTGCCATTGAGGGATCTGTAGGCAACCCTGCCTGGTCTGGTCCTACACTTAGTGGGCCCTGCACTCTGGTGGCTAAGCAGGGAGCTCAGATGACTGTGTATTCCATGAATCAGCCCATTGCCTGAGGCAACAGAGAACTTCTGCCAGTAAGGAATAATCAAGTACATACCCAGCCACATTGGCTGCAGCCAGCTCTTACTAATAAATGTCATCTATGGGCTTGTGGGTCAAACTGCACTGCCCAATATAAAACCTGCTGAAAGAAATGCATAGGGCTATAGAAACAACCCAAAAGACCCTATCCAGCATTCTCTATAATCATATCCCCTAGGGAGAGGTGAAAAGGGAAACAGAAAATAATAACATTATATGGAAAGAAATAAAGAAAAAGAAAAATACCCACTCACATGAACATAATTACAAAAATTAAAAATGCCAGAGTCTCCAGATAAAAAGAAATGAGTGCAAGAATTCTGGCACAATGAGAAATCTGAATGTAGTGACATGACCAAAAGATTGCACGAGCTCCCCTGCAATGGTCCCCAATCAAAGCAAAAACTCAGAAATGACAGAATAAGAATTCAAAGCATAGATTAGAAGGAAGCTAAACAAGATCCGAGACAAGGTTGAAAATAAACACAAGGAAACTTATAAAGCAGTCCAAGAAATGAAAGAAGAGATAAACATCTTAAAAAGAAATCAGTCAGAGTGTCTGCAATTGAAGAACTCACTTAAGGAATTTCAAAATACAATTGAAAGCTTTATCAATAGACTGGACCAAGCAGAAGAAAGAATTTCGGAATTTGAAGACCTGTCTTTTGAACTAAACCAGTCAGACAAAGATAAAAAGAAAAGAATTTTAAAAAATGATCAAGTCTTTGAGAAATACAGGATTATGTAAAGTGACAAAACCTATGAATTATTGGCATTTTCAAGAGAGAAGCAGAAAAAGTAAACAACTTTGAAAACATATTCAAGGGAATAATTCAAGAAAACTTCCCTAATCTTTCTAGAGAGGTAGAAATTCAAATACAAAAAATCCGGAGAACACTTATACTATATAAAATGAACATCACCAAGGTATATAGTCACCAGATTGTCCAAGGTCAAAACTGAAGAAAACAATCTTGAAGGCAGCAAGAGAAAAAGGGCGGATCACACAAAATGGGAACCCCATCAGGCTAACAGCAAACTTCCCAGCAGAAAGCTTATAATCCAGGAGAGATTTAAGGCCTATTTTCAGTACTCTTAAAGAGAACAAATTCTAGCCAAGATTTCCATCTCTCTCCAAACCAAGCTTCAAAAGCAAAAAAGAAATAAAATCTTTTCCAGACAAGCATGCATTAAAGGAATTTGTTACCATTAGACCAGCCTTACAAGACATCCTTAAGGGAGTTCCAACCATGGAAACAAAAGAGCAATACCTGCTACCTCAAAGACATATGTAAGCACATAGCCCACAGGCCCTATAAAGCAACTGCGCAATAGAAACTACAAAGTAACCAGCTAACAACCTCAAGATGGATCAAAACATCACATATCAATATAAACTTTGAATGTAAATGGTATAAATGCCCCACTTAAAAGGCATAAAGTGGCAAGTTAGATAAAGAAAGAAAACTTATCCATCTACTGTCTTCAAGAGAGCCATCTCACATGCAACAACACTTATAGGCTTAATGTAAAGGGTTGGAGAAAGATCTACTATATAAATGGAAAAGACAAGAGAGCAGGGGGTCACTATTCTTAGATAAAAGAGACTTTAAAACAACAACATTAAAAAAAAGGATAAAGAAGGACCTTACATAGTGATAAAGGGTTCAAATCAACAAGAAGACATAACTATCCTAAATATATATGCACCCAACATTGGAGCATTGAGATTCATAAAACAAGTACTTCTATACCTGTGAAAAGACTTAGACAGTCACACAATAATAGTGGGGAACTTCAGCACCCCACTGAAAGCATTAGACAGATCATCAAGGCAGAAAACTAACAAAGGAATTCTGCATTTAAACTCGACACCTGATCAATTAAACCCAATAGACATCTACGGAATACTCCACCTATCAACTACAGAATATACATTCTTCTCATCTGCACACAGAATATACTCCAGGATTGACCACATGCTCAGCCATAAAGTCTCAATAAATTCAAAAAATTTGAAAACATACTTTTGAACCACAGTGGAATAAAAATAGAATTCAATACCAAGAAGATCTTTTAAGCCCACACAATTACATGGAAATTAAACAACTTGCTCCTGAATGACTCTGGGGTAAACAAAGAATTCAAGGCAGAAATTTCAAAAAATATTTGAATAAGTGAAAACAGAGACACAACATATCAAAATCTACGGGATGCAGCAAAGGCAGTGTTAAGGGGAAAGTTTATAGCATAAAATGCCTACTTCAAAAAGTTAGATCTCAAAATTAACGATCTAACACCCACCAAGAGGAACTAGAAAAACAAGAACAAACTAACTCCAAAGCTAGCAGAAGAAAAGAACTAAAATTGAGCAGAACTGAATGAAATTGAGACCCAAAGATTTATACAAAGATTCCACAAAACCAAAAATTTGTTCTTTGCAAGGATAAAAATGATCAACAGACTGTTAGCTAGATTAACAAAAAAGACAGAAGATCCAAATAAGCACAATCAGAAATGACAAGCATGACAGTACAACTGATCCTACAGAAATACAAAGGATCCTCAGAGACTATTTTGAACACCTCTGTGCACACAAACTAGAAACTGTAGAGGAAATGGATAAATTCCTGGAAAAAATCTCCCAAGATTGAATCAGGAAGAAACTGAAACACTGAACAGGGCAATATCAAATTCCAAAATTAAATGAGTAATAAAAAGGCTACTAACCATAAAAGGCCCAGATCCGGTGAATTCACAGCCAAATTCTAACAGACATACAAAGAAGAGCTGGTACAAACACTGCTGAAAGGATTCCAAAAAAATCAGGAGGAGAGGTTTTTCCCTGACTCATTTTATGAAGTCAGCATCGCCCTCACAATAAAACCTGGCAAAGACAGAACAAAAAAAGAAAACTACAGGCCAATATCCCTGATGAACATACACACAAAAATCCAGAAGAAAACACTAGTAAACTGAATCCCACAGCACATCAAAAAGTTAATTCGCCAGGATCAAGTAGGCTTTATTCCTGGGATACAAGTTTAGTTCAACATAGAAAAATCAATAAATGTGATTAACCACATAAATAGAATTTTTGAAAACTATATAATAATCTCAGTAGATGTAGAAAAATATTTTGATAAAATCCAACATCCTTCTTGTTAAAACCCTCAAGAATCTAGGTATCAAAGAAACATACCTCAAAATAATAAGAGTCATCTATGAGAAACACACAGTCAACATCATACTGAACAGGCAAAAGCTAGACTCATTCTCTATGAGAACTGGAATAAGACAAGGATGCCCACTCTCACCACTTCTATTCAGCATAGTACTTGAATGTCCTAGCCTAGCCAGAGCAATCAGGCAAGAGAAAGAAATAAAAGACGTCCACATAGGAAAAGGAGAAGTCAAACTATCTTTCTTCACGGACAATATTATTCTATAACCAGAAAACTCTAAATACTCTGCCAAAAAGTCCTTAGAACAGATAAATAATTTCAGTAAAGTTTCGGTATTCAAAATCAGTATACAAAAGTCAGTAACATTTCTATACACCAATAACATTCAAGCTGAGAGCCAAATTAAGAATGCAATTTCAGTTACAATAGCAACAACAGCAACAAGAACAAAATACCTAGGAATACATCTTATCATGGAGGTGAAAGATGTCTACAAGGAGGACTACAAAACACTGCTAAAAGAAATGATAGATGATACAAACAAATGGAAAAACATTCTATACTCATCGATTTGAAGAATCAATATAGTTATAGTGGCCATACAGCCACTACTGCAATCTGCCACTACTGCCATACTGCAATCTACAGATTCAATGCTATTCCTATCAAACTACCAATGTCATTTTTCATGGAATTGGAAAAAACTATTTTAAAATTCATACAGAACAAAAAAGAGCCCAAATAGCCAAAGCAATCCTAAGCAAATACATTATGCAATCTTAAACAATAGAATAAGGCTAGAGTAACCAAAACAGCACGGTATTGATACAACAACAGACACATAAACCAATGTAACAGAATAGAGAACCCAGAAATAAAGCCTCACACCTATAGCCATCTAAGCTTTGACAAGGTTGACAAAAATAAGCAGTGGGGAAAGGAGTTCATATTCAATAAATGGTGCTGAGATAGCTGGCTAGCCATGTGCAGAAGAATGAAACTGGATCCCTACCTTTCATCATATACAAAAATTAAGTCAAGATGAATTAAAGATTTAAATATAAGACATCAAACTATAAGAATCCTAGAAGAACGCCCAATAAACACCATTCTGGAAACTTGCCCTGGAATAGAATTTATGGCTAAGTCTGGAAATGCAACTGCAACAAAAACAAAAATTGACAAATGAGACCTAATTAAACTAAAGAGCTTCGGCATAGCAAAAGAAACTATTAACGGAGTAAACAGACAACCTATGGAATGTGAGAAAATATTTACAAACTACGCATCTGACAAAGATCTAATATCCAGAATCTATAAGGAACTTAAACAAATTTACAAGAGAAAAACAACCCCACTAAAAAGTGGGCAAAGAACATTAACAGACATTTCTCAAAAGAAGACATATAACCTGCCAACAAACATGTGAAAAAAATGCTCCACATCACTAATCGTTAGAGCAATGCAAATCAAAACCACAATGAGATACTATCTCACACCAGGCAGAATAGCTATTATCAAAAAGTCAAAAAACAACAGATATTGGTGATGCTGTGGAGAAAGGGAACACTGTTGGTGGGAATGTAAATTAGTTCAGCCACTGTGGAAAGCAGTTTGGAGATTTCTAAAAGAACTTAAAAACGGAAATCTCATTCAACCTAGCAATCTCATTACTGGATATATACACACACGAAAAACAAATTGTTCTGCCAATAAGACACATGCACTTGCATGTTCATCACAGCACTATTCAGCATAGCAAAGACATGGAATTAACCTAGGTGTCCATCAGTGCTAGACCGGATAAAGAAAATGTGGGATATACATCCCCATAGAATATTATGCATATGCAGCCATAAAAAATAATGAAATCATGCCCTTTGCAGCAACATGGATGCAGCTGGAGCCATTATCCTAAGCAAATTAACACAGGAACAGAAAACCAATCACCACATGTTCTCACTTGTAAGTGGGAGTTAAACACTGGGTACTCAAGGACAGAAAGATGGCAACAGTAGACACAAGGGACTACTAGAGGTGGAAGGGGGAGGGCAAATGTTGAAAAACGAACTGTTGGCTGCTACGCTCCATACTGTGTTCATTTGTACCCCGAACCTCAGCATCCTGCACTGTACCCAGGTAACAAACCTGCACATGTACCCCCTGAAGCTAAAATAAAATTGAAAAAAAAAAGCAACTACAAAAATAGATTATTGGTGATGTGGTAGATGTAGAAGCCAGACTGGGTTGTAATGAATGAGGTTGAATAGTTTTATTTCAGAATCTCAACTTTTCTCCTGCCTCTATGCTTATCTTAGCTGACATTCCTAGCTACAAAACCTAAAGCAAAATCTCATGTGCTATCCCGTTATTAAGGAGCAGGGGGAAATGGAGAGTGTAGCACAGAGGAAAGAGGAGCAACAATGAGGATGTCCTTATGCAAGCTGGTCACTGCTTGGTAACAAGCATCACTGATTGCTTGAATTTAAACAGCTCTAGCAGAGAGACTTTCTGAGAACAGTCTGCCTAGGAGGCAGAAGAGAGAAAAGTCTATTCCACCTTCAAGGGACCTCAGTCTGCTTCAAAGATACCGGGCACTTCCAGGGAGCATCTTTAAGTTCTGCAGGAAAAAGCCAAGGAAGCCAAAGCCCAGAAAAGCAGCTTGGTCAGCGTGCAGTAGCAGTGTCTATCCACCAGCTTGCCTCACACATGGGGCATCTTGACATTTAGTAGGGTGAGGGTGGCAGTGACAACCTGACTCCACAGTCATAGAAACAGCACAGAGCTAGGCAATTGTGCAGATGGAGACAGGGAGGCAGGAAGCACATTCACTGTGTACAGTATAGCATCCCACTCTGGGCCCATGGTTCTACCCGTGAACATGGATGTGCTCTTTGATCAGATCTACTCTTCTTTCTGTGTGCTTCAGCCATGGACATTCATGGCAAAGGAATTATTCTCTTTGCTAAAACAGAGATGCCCAGCTATACCCTATGAGAGCGGGTAATGGGTCAGCCATATACATCATGCTGCCACTAATGAGGAAAGAATCTCCCTCTCAGGAATAATTCTCTTGCGTCCAGACCCCAGAGAAGGCAAATACTTCATCCTCTCACTCCCATTTCAGAAATCATACTTTCTAACATACTGTCTGAGGAGGTACTTTATGAGGCTCCCAAACAATTTTTTTCGAGGGTGGTAAAGTTTGCAGAGAAATTGTATTCCAGGTGGGGCTCTTTGTAAGAGATGTGTACCTGGAGCTTAGTTTCATTTTATATACACATCATCCCGACTTCATCCTACTTACTACAATCTCAGTTTTTCAATTTCGTAAGAAACAGCCTACCATGGGAGAAAGAAAACTTAGAGTTTCAGGACCTGGGGGAGTTCTAGGCCTACCTCTTATTTGCTCTGTGTTTCTGGTGAAATTTCTTAAACTCTCAGGCCCATTCTCTATCTGCCTGTAACACTTTTACAGCCCCAGGTAAGTTCTGTGTGAAGTTTACACGTATATTCTTATGATTAGAGCCTCCCAAAGTGTGTGAGCTGGGGCAGTAGCATGTGGGAATATATGGTTGGAAAGATAAAGGGTGGCTACATAGATAGTCTGATTAAGATTAGCCTATTAAAGGAAAGCTCTACAAGATTAGGAAGGTATGCTTATGGCTTTAAACAGACCACTACTCAGGAAGCCACCAAATGGTATCAAATGTTGTACAGCATATTACTTGATCCTGGTCCCATCTAATGGGCAAAGAAGCTCAGAGGTTGGAGGAAAATGATTTAAGAAAGAAAGAACCGAGATTGTTATGTAAAGACATAGAGGCAGCTATGAAGTATGGGGGCCATTCTGCTGAGGAAATTTCAATGGAGTTATAACTCAGAGAGAGTCTTTCTTTTTACTCATACTTTATTCAATTAACAAGTATTTTTGAAGCACCCTTTGTATGTCTAGCACTGTTAGGTAGTGTGTAGGATATGGAGAGAATAAAAGATGTGGTCCTTTTCCCCCAAACTGATGAAATCTGGCTGCTGTTTTAAGATACCACATCCGTAACAATAAAGAAAAAAGCAATATATAATAAAGTGCATGTAGTAAATAAAACGAAAGGCACTAAGAAAGACATTTAATATAAAACAGTGTCTTCTTGGCCGGGCGCGGTGGCTCACGCCTGTAATCCCGGCACTTTGGGAGGCCGAGGCAGGTGGATCACAAGGTCAGGAGATCGAGACTATCCTGGCTAAGACGGTGAAACCCCGTATCTACTAAAAATACAAAAAAAAAAATTAGCTGGGCGTGGTGGCGGGTGCCTGTAGTCCCAGCTACTCAGGAGGCTGAGGTAGGAGAATGGCATGAACCCGGGAGGTGGAGCTTGCAGTGAGCCGAGATCACACCAGTGCACTCCAGCCTGGGCGACAGTGCGAGACTCCGTCAAAAAAAAAAAAAAAAAAAAAAAAAAAAAGTCTTCTTAATGGGCAGTGAAAAAAAGAGGATAACATAATAGTAGATAATGTTTATTGAACACTTACTGTGTAACAGGATCTTACATACACTACATTAAATCCTCATAATAATCTTAAGATGAAGAAAGTGAGGCAAAGGGAAGTTAGGTAACTTTACCAATGTCATACAGCTATTGAGTGGCAGAGACAGGAACAAAAATAATGAAGTCTAAAAAAGAGATCCATGTGGGCAGTCAAGAAACTTGAGATTTGCTGAAGATGGTGCTTGAGAGGTACCTGATGTTTAGTTTCATTCTACAGTCACATCATCTAGATTTAACAGAGTATAAGTTACTATAGGTCATCTTGTATTCCTTGAATCAGGTACTCGCTAGTCAGTGAATGGTTACTTGTCAAAAGGAAATGAGCTGAATAAAATGAGCTGGGGAGAGGTAGGGAGAGAAACATCGAAGTAATCACAGAAAGTGGAATGGCAGAAGTAGAAGTGGGAATAAGGATAACTCTGCCTTCATCCCCAGGGCAAGTCCTAGATTACATCCAGGAAGAAGTCCAGGGGCACAATTTAGCTTTGTGATACTACCTTGGAGATGGCAGAGCTGGAGCATGGACCAGGGCTCAATTCCCATAACTAAGACAGGAGCATGCTGATGTTTCATATTGACACTGTGAACAACAGACATCCTCTGACTTGGTGACTCGTCTTTGCTCTGCAAATACATATGCTACTGTAATTGCTAAAAAATTACTTTGGACTCGCAGTTCAAATGGCTAAGTAATGTGGCCTCAGGTTTTTCCCAGGAACTCTTGCCATGTTTAAACAAACCCCAAGAATGACTGGGTAACACCCTGAGAATTGGCACTCGGTGGTACGCCAACAGCTTGGCTATCCGGAACGCTTCTGTCTGACTGCTTTTCCAAATTCAGTGTCTCCCAATCCAACCACGAAATGGCTGAGAAAAATGCCTCCATCCATCTTTTCCAGGGCATTCACCTCTTCCACTTCCTCACATGACCCTTTCCTACTTCAGCTGCTTTAGTTGGACTGTTTTTCCTTCCTCACCCTCCCACTCACTTCACAGAGCCGGTTTTAGTTTCTATCTAGTGAACACCGCAGTGAAGGAAAGCCAACATTTTTTTCAATCAGGAGAGTGAAGAGTGGAACTAGCCATCAGGACAAACTTACTTCATCTAGCAAATGTTCATCTGCTATTTTAACATCTTAGTTAGATCATATGGCCGCGGCAGCCAAAGTCCACAGGGCAACAGGCTGTACTGATACAATTAGCCTATGTACCTTCCCATTCCTGGAAGTGCTTTTCCTTGATTATCCTTGAATATCAACAGTTCTTAATTTCCAAAGACAGGACATATAACCTAACTCCCAAATCCCACAAAGAGAAGAAAAACCTGGCTCCCATCCACTCCTATGTTCCCAGCAACAGTCCCATAGACTCTACTTCTTCACAGTTTCGCTGAACAGTTACACTGAACTTTTCCACCACTTATACACTTGGTTGGAGCCAACATGTGTTCCTCCCGTATCATGTTTTTAGTAATTAGAAAGTAATTCTCTGAAGCAGAGAATGCTCTGGTTTGCCAAGAACAAGCTCTGTTGATGACTTCTGAGTGCTGCAAAGGGTTTTGCTGTGGGCTCCATTACAAAAATAATCACTTCGCTGACTACAGAGTCAATTTACTCCCTCAACGTGGGCCACCATTTGCCTAGCATTCTCCTAAAAGAATTTCCCTTTGAAAACTGGAATTTTGTAAACAGTTCATAGTCAGATCCAAGTTAGCTAGAGGTAATGAAGGTCTTTATTACCACTTTTAAATATCAAATGTTGGAATCAATGAAGTAGAATGAGCTCATTATTACTCACCAGATGGTATGAGGAGTCATGAAAGATAATCAAACATTCTTTAGTTTGACAAACAGTGGGTTTCCCAGCCCCCTAAATAGTCTTTTCTCCATTCTAGATATTAGGGTAAGCATATGATTATTGTCAATGTATACAGGTAACCAGTGCTGGATTCACACAGAACTATGAAATCAGCAAAGCTGACCTTCACTGTGTCTCCCATCCTGAATGTATTTTCCAGCTTTATAGTTTCCCTTCAACTTTCATTTTGAGATGCCTTTATTCTAAGGCTTCTCTATAAAATATAGGAGAGTGTTAATGGCTGAAACATTATTTTTTTTTCAAATCTATTTTTATGGTATTCTTTTTTTAAATTTTATTATTATTATACTTTAAGTTTTAGGGTGCATGTGCACAATGTGCAAGTTTGTTACATATGTATACATGTGCCATGTTGGTGTGCTGCACCCATTAACGCGTCATTTAGCATTAGGTATATCTCCTGATGCTATCCCTCCCCTCTCCCCCTACCCCACAACAGTCCCCGGTGTGTGATGTTCCCCTTCCTGTGTCCATGGACTGACACATTATTGATGTTCATAGGAAAGTTGTTTTAGCCTGATGGGATTTTCTAAGATGCATGCGTGAAATTCTAGGCACCAGCCATCAGGGGGAGCAGTTGTGGTTTTGTGTGGTGGGTCTTCCTGGTCTTTGCGGAATCAGAATTTAGTCTTACAGTTTCCTGCAGGTGAATAACCTACTTTACCAAAATGTGGAGATGGCTCATTCATTACCTGAAGAAGAACAAGGATGCAACTACTGTTCTTTAATGCTAATATGGAGCATCACATTGTCATTTGTAGTTAGGAATGACTTTCCCTGATAATAATGTCTGTTAGGTTCTGGCAACATTCTTTCAGACCTGTAAGTCTTGGGTAATAGTCACTGGATAATATTCGTAGTTCTCTCCCGCAGTGAATAAGTGGTGAAGGTTAAATTATTCCAAAAATGGATGTGGGCAATATTTAAGAAATTCTGATTTTATGACTTATGTTGCCTTGAAATATAATATTTTAATCATATATTTATATAATTTTTACTTAAAAGGAACTCAAAATACATTGCAGATGTTATTAAGGTGAGGAGTATAGCACCATAGTAGCTAGGATTTATTGAGTGTTTCCTACGTGCCAGGAGCTTCAAACAATTCTACATCCACATGGCAATCCTAATAAATAGATATTATTTTTATTTATTTATTTATTTATTTATTTATTTATTTATTTCGACGGAGTTTCACTCTTGTTTCCCAGGCTAGAGTGCAATGGTGCAATCTCGGCTCACTGCAACCTCCACCTCCCGGTTCAAGTGATTCTCCTGCCTCAGCCTCCCATGTAGCTGGGATTACAGGCGCCTGCCACCACGCCTAGCTAATTTTTGTATTTTTAGTAGAGACGCGGTTTCGCCATGTTGGCCAGGCTAGTCTCGAACTCCTGACCTCAGGTGATCCGCCCGCCTCGACCTCCCAAAGTGCTGGGATTACAGGCATGAGCCACCACGCCTGGCCCTATTATTTTTTCTAATTAACAGATGAAGGAACATATTAAGCAATTTGCCCAAAATCACAGGCAAGAATTTGAACCCTATTAGTCTGACTCCAGAGCTTGGGTCTTAGCAGCACCAAAGGTAACAGTACCTATGTTTAAAAGGATAAAATTAGGAATTTATTGAAAAATATAAGTGGTCAAGCTGGGATGGAAAACTAGTTTTGTTGTTGGTCTTTTTTCATTCCCAAGCAAGAACATGTTTTACTGCCTATCCCACTGAATTCTAGCCAAAGATTTCTCTGTAATAGAACAATAGAATAACTTTCCAAAATATGGTAAGAATGCAGATAGACTAGCAGTGGAGTAAATTCCCTTTCTCAAAGCAGGCAAGGAGGGTGCAGAGGGGTTAATCCTGATGACCCTTGTCAAGGGAGGACACTCCCAGATATAGCCTAGGCCATAAGGCCCAAGTCTCTTCTCTTTCTGAAATTCTGCTCTATCCCCTTTTAGCTTGTGAACCCAAAACTGGAAAGCTGCTTGGCTCTGTTTCCTCAGTTTTTGTTCTTGACATAGCAATCCAACGTTACTTACTCTTCATTTACTCTACACCTACCCCATCCGTCCTCAACAGACCATGATATCAGACCTTGGTTTTTAATTCCCCTCCCTTTCACTTAGTGCTTTAGGAAAGACATTGTTGACATTGGACCAAACCTCACTATTATTAACTCAGACCTGAGATACTTCTTCTGGTATATAACATTGTTTAACAGATTTCAAATACTCCAAACTGGATTTTCTTAAACCTCTAATGCAGCAGAATCATAGAGATCTTTAAAAATATGGATTCTAAAGAAAACATGACCTTGAAATAGACATATAGTTACAAAATAGGAAACAAAAAGCGTTAAATGAGAATGCACATTTCATGACAATTACTCGAACTTACACATGTAATTCTGTGAACTTTTCTGTGTGTTATACTTTAAAAAAACAAGTTTACCTTCAAAAGTATATGTTTCTGGGGTTTTTCTCCAGGCCTCATGAGTCAGCAATTCCTGCATTAGAGTCCAGGAAATTTTATTGTTAAATTGTCCTTAGTCATTGAGATAAGCAATTAGTTTGGCGAAGTACCAAAACTCCTAGGAGAGCAAATAGTATGTTAAGAATTCTAAGGCCAGGAGGATGAGGTTTATTTCCCACACAGAGAATGATTCTGGAAAACAATTAGATTGGGAAAATGTGCATTTCACTCCTACAAAGTCATGTGCCACTGCCTGGATGAACAGAGTATATATGTGATGCAGCCCCCTATTTTAGTCCACTAAGAGCCACCTTTCTTCTTTCAACTGCAGCCTATAGCTGTAGAGACAAGAGCAGAACTGCAGAATGTCACCATTTGAGAGGCCCTTTACCCACATTCTTGTCCTGATGAGTCACTCACTGGTTAAATACAGTAGGTAACCTTTGTGTGCTGAATCCCAGCCTCTGAAATCATGCAGCAGGCCAACTCACTACAGTGAAAAACAAGCCTCCCCTTCCTCCTTCTGTGGTGGCAATAACTCAGTTGTGGGCTACAGGAGATCCTTGCGTGCCAAGTGAGCAAGTTATGGGGTTCCTGGTAAAGAGAAGTTGCTTGTTTGGATCAAGTTAGATGGATGTAAATTTTGAAAAGGCCAAACAAATGGGTGATGCTCTCTTGTTTAGCATTTGTACTAAGTTATCTTCACAAAGAGCTATACAAAGGCTTAAAATAAAATCAACCAGTCTCAATTCTTCCAGCCTGGGAGAAAAGAAACGCCCATTAGGACACTGATCTTTAAGATGCTACCTCCTTCAGAAAAGTGGCAAAATGACCACAAGATGTTTGTGTACTAAATGTGTACTAAACTGAATGTACACTAAACCAAATTCTTGAAATTCCATCCATTTACCCTTTCACCCATTTCCAAAATTACACTTCCCCAGTCTTTCCACCTAATGAGTGGCTCCACTATTCACCATGATAATTAGGTGGAAAACCTAGGAGTCATCCTTGCCTCCTCCCTTTTCTCATACTCACTATGCAATCCATGAAACCATTATGATCCCTTATCTGGTGTAGTTGATGCTGTTCTGCACTACCGCAATGTCTCCCTTTAGAACTAAAGTACACATTCCATATGACTTCAGCAGAAGTACTGACCGGAAGACATCAGCCATTCTGTCACTGTCCACCCTACAGCTGGTACAACAGGTGTATTAACAGAATAGCCATGGTCACAAGAGTGGAGCCTATGCTTGGGCCCATCAGTATGAGATTTCACTTACCAAAGCTCATTTGGTTATTACTGCCACTAAGTTGTTTTTTGTTTGGTTGTTTGTTTCGTTTTTTTTTAGATGGAGTCTTGCTCTGTTGCCCAGACTGGAGTGCAGTGGTGTGATCTCGGCAACCTCCGCCTCCTGGGCTCAAGCAATTCTCTCGTCTCAGCCTCCTGACTGGCTGAGACTATAGGTGTGCGCCACCACACCTGGCTAATTTTGTATTTTTAGTAGAGACCAGGTTTTGCCATGTTGGCCAGGCTGGTCTCGAACTCCAGAGCCACTAAGTTTTTAATATTCCAGCCATAAAGACCAAACTGGAGTCCCCAGTTTGGTAGCACCCTAAGTGAGATGAATCACCCACATGCTGGTGAATTAACTACACTGGATCACTTTCATCCTGGAAGAGGTTTGCTTTGCTTAATTGGACTTAACTCATATTCCAGCTACTAGCTTTGCCTTTCCTCCCTGCAGGGCCTCAGCCAGCACTGTTATTCAAAGGCTTAGAGAGAGTGTGATCCAACAACATGAGAGCCAACATAATATACTATCATATAATTGCAGATATGTATTGCAATATACGTAACTGCAGAATCCACTTTACAGCATCAGAGGTTCAGCAGTGACCATGGGATCCACTGGAGCTACCACATGCTACAGTACCCAGAGACTTCTGACCTGGCAGTGCTGTGGACTGTCCTTGTGAAGGTGCAACTCTGGTACCAGCTTGCCGATGAAGTACGTACCCTAAATCAATGACCATCGCATGATGCTGTATTATCAAAAAGGAAGAATACATGGATATGGGAACTGCATAGCAGAAATAAGGGTAACTCTGCTTACCTTCACTCCCAGTGACCCACTTGGGTAATCTGTGCTTCCCATCACCACCACTCTAGGTTTTGTGGGTCTGTGTTTCCCAGAGAAGGAACACGTCCACCAAGGAACATATGAGTTTTATTAAACCTTATAGTTCAACAACCACCCAGTCACCTTGAGCTTCTTAGCCAAGAAAGCAACAGACAAGGAAGGGAATCACTGCCATAGTCGAAGTAAATGAGCCTGTTTGTTAGGAGGCAGGACTGCTCTATCACAGTGGAGTCAGGGAAGAACACATTTGGCACCCAGTGATCCACAGGGAATCTCTTGGTTATCCTCTGACCCATTTGACAGCACATGGGCAACCAGAAGGGCATGGTGACCAGAGCTCGGACCCCTTAGGAGTGAGTGTCTGAGTCTCTCCATTACATAAGCTACTGGGCCAGCAGAGGAGTGAGCCAAATGCAGAGAAGCTAGAATGGGTAGTAAAGAAGGTAAGTTTTAGTTATAGTCAAGAGACCAGTTTTTTCCCCTGGAAAAACAGACTAGTAAGAATCCTAGAGCAGCTACTGCCAGATGGGATGAAGAAACAGGAAGCAGCTGGATGCAGATGGCACGGGGGTTGATTGTTGTTGATACCCAAATGCCCCTTAAGGTTTGAGCCACTCATTCCCCCAGTTGCTGGAAGTGTCACTTCCTGATGGCTCACAACTTAGTCCCTTCTCAGGAATCCACCTTCATAAAAGGGAGCTGCCTCACTCAAGCTTGCACCTCCTTTCCAGGGGCAGCCAATGTCTAATGATTGTTTGATGAGGGGTTACAAAGGCCTGACCACCCGCCCCCACCTTTGCCTCCAGTTGAGACATCAACTCAATCACAGTTTGAATTCTTCCTCTGCCCATTCCTGCCTCCTTCACTCCTTACACAATCTGTTCCCAAACATACTCCACAACCACCTGCACTCAAATCTCTCTCACAAAGTCTATTTCCCATTGAATACAAAACCTTTACTCCACTCAGCAGCCAGGATGATCCTCAAATGTAAGTTAGGTAATGTCACTCCACATCATGGTTTCCCATCACTCTTAAAATCAAAGGTCCCTCCCAGGACTCACAAGCACCCGCCTCCTCTCCAGCTGCTCTTCTCCTTCCTCACTCCACTCTCTGGCCTTCTGGCTGACCCACCCTTGTCAAGCAGTCTCCCAGCTCAGGGCATGGGTGCTGCCATTCTCTCTGCCTGGAGTGTGCTTCCTCCAATACACAAATGGTTTGCCACCTCTCTTTATTCAGGTCTTTGGCTAGCTTCCACCTTTATCGGAGGGGTCTCCTTTGTTTATTCTAACAAAAGTATACTCTGTGCCTACCTATTTTGTTTTTCTGCATAGCCTTTACCACTACCTCACATTCTCTTATTAATTGCTTGATTAAAGAGTCTTTTGTCTTTCTTCCCCCATTATAAAGTAACATCCATGTAAACAAGGATTTTTCCATTTTTCCTGTTCTGTCCACTGCTGTGTCCCTCGTACCTAGACAGAACTATTTGTATTAGCAGGCATTCAGCAAATAGCTACTGAATTACTGAATAAATGTATAAAATAGCAGATGAGTAAACAGTATGTGGTGAGTCCACATATCCAAGTATACAGGTTTTCCCAAACAAAAGAGTAGGACAATCTAAAACATGCTGACAATGACCCTGTCACTAGTAGTACGCACTCTCACTCCAAACTTGGATGAATCACATTCATTAGGAGTGGCCTATTGCTGACTCAAATTTTTTAACGGTCCCCACAGGCTAATGAAGAATTCAAGTGGTTCAGTAAAAGCACAAAAGTCTTTAATAAGTCTGACGCCTTATTTCTGCAAAGTGTTGTGAAGGAAAGGATTGGATTTGGGTGCTTGGGGTTTTGTTTTTACTTGTTTCTTTTCTTTTCTTTTTTGTTTTTTATGACAATGCCCATCATATGCCTACACCTAGCAGTCAATAGATAGGACACGGGCCATTTTATCCAAAGTCTCATCAGCTACCACAGCAACAAGGTAAAGGGCACAGAAAGAGCTCAGATAGGTGCTACGTCACTCAGAGTTCAGGTAACATAACTGGAAATAGCTCCAGATATGTAAGAAGAGAGATTTCACACAATGGTGCTTGCACAATCTTTGGAAGGGCTGGAGGAGGAGAAGTCACTTTCTTCAAGGTAGCATCACCATAGTTACAGGGCTGAGACTGGAAAGAGCTGCTATGCTGCTTCCACTCTGGCCACTGCCCCAACTGTGTGACACCCACGGGTTGGCCACCTGGCTCTGGAATGTGGATTTCCACCTCCAAAAATGTTCTCCCTCTCCTGACCTTGCCCACTAGCCCCTATAGCAGCAGGAGACCCAGCTCCCTTAGGCGGTCCCTACATTGGTAGAATGCCCATTTCATTGGTAAAACTATATCACATCCAGAACCTCGTTGCACATTAGTCTGTGAAATGTCATTTTTAGTCTTCCAGATACAAATAGGTAAAATAAATGGTAGAAATGGATGTTGAGTGAAATAAGCTTTATCCAGCAAATGTGCCAACAGTGAGAAACTTCAAATGGGGCGGTCCTTTCCTTTGCAAGAATTAAGTTTAGTATTGGGATGGCTTTTTTGGAAGACAAAAGAAAGTCCCATGAACAGATAACAATAAATTCTATAATGAGTGCTTACTTTATACTTGGCGCAATACAAAGCATTTAATATTCATAATCGCATCTACCACATCTCCATGACTCTATGAAGCCAGTAGTTAGTAATATTATTTCCATTTTACAGATGAGACAAGGCCTAGAAAGTTTCAGAGGTGTGCCAAGGACATACAGAGAGTGAGGAGCAGAGCTGGGATATAAACTCAAGGCCAAAGCTTTAACCACTAGGCAACTTCACCCCCACCTCCAGCTTAAACCATGTATCATCATAGAAAACTCTTCACCACCTCTCTCTCTCTCTCTAGCTCTCTTGCTCTCTCGCTTTCTCACTCTCACCTTCATTCTTGCTTCCAGTATATAATCCCTTATATGATGCATGTATCCATACATTTACATATTCACTGTCATCAAGGGACTCTAAAACTCATACATATCATGTTTCAGCACTCTAAAAAGATTAGTTCATTTCCAAACATAGCTGCATAAAGAAGGTTTGAAAACTTCTCTGAGAAATGGCACAACTCTTTGGATAACAGAAATGGGATGGTGGGGAAATACCAGTATCCCTAGTAGGAAAACTTAAAAGACATTTCAAAATTCTCTTAGTCATGCATCAAGGAGTCTTGAGAAAGACCAGTCACCCCGGCTATTTTTGTTGCTGAGAAAATTTAAACACTTCTATATTTGTTTTGTGGTTTCCTAGGTTATCTTTTCCAGAGGTCATTCTGGATTGTGATTAAGTGAGAAGCAAGAGGGGGTTGGGAAGCATAGATGAAGTAGAATGGCAAGCACATCATCTTCCTGCTGAGAACCCCCTGCATAATCTTAGAAAGCAAAGTGGAAGGGCCTGGCATTGTTGAATTGAAGTCTACTTAGTATAGGTTCTTCCGTGCAACCCTCTAATTTAGTTCTCACAAAAATCTCGTCAAGTAGAAAGTACTGACTCTGAATGATGAGTAGACTAAGCTAAGGTTTAGTAACTTGTCCACCCTCACACTGATAGCAGGCCACAGGGCTAGGATTTGAACCCACATCTCTGGGTTCTTCTTCTCAAATCACCTATGCCCCACTACCTAGATTCTAGAATTTTCTTTGTTGAGATTGTCATTTCTGGTTTCATTATACTTTCAATTTAAAAATAGCCTGACCTAATTATTGTTATATATTTGTGTGAACCTTGCTAAGAATAAAGTTCAGTATCACCTGTGAAGCTGGATCAATGTTGGGGATCTTGTTTCCCAGAGGAGGAACATTTCTACCAGGGGACAGACACAGCAAGAGTTTTGTGAAACCTTAAGGTATGGTTCTCACCCAGTCACTCAGGTTCCTTGGCCAAGGGACCAGCAGGCAAAAAAGGAATCACCACCCTAGTAGGGTAAATGAACTTGATCACAAGGAGGAGATGGTGATGCTCTATCACAGTGGAGTCAGGGGAGATATATTTGGCACTTGGATGATCCACAGGGCATCTCTTGTCTCTCCTTTGCAATTTTGACAGTATTTGGACAATGACAGCATAGGGGCATGATGACCAGGGTCTAACAATCTACTGCTGAAGAAAACTTTATAGAATTATGAGGAATTAGCAGCAGTTAGAACAAACTATGACTGGGCACAAGAAAGTGCCACAGGAAGGGACAAGGAACACAGGACAATTGTCAACCTAGAAATGTTTTCTTCTGATTGTGGCAAACTTTGAGGATTTATGCTGAGGTCATCAGCATAAACCTTGGTCCTACTTGCTAATTTTAGTCATAAAGATGAAAGGAGGTTATAAAATCAGAATTGTTTCTGGACATTTCCGGAGCTTGCTATACATGTCCTTTTGATCTGCTTCAAAAACTAGAGGCATCAAGACCTCATGAGTAGTTCTGTGGCCTGTGCTTTCAGATCACCTGAACTCCCCTACCTGAATATGGTCCACACCTTCCTCACATTTAGATTCAGCCACCTACTATGGGAACTTGAAAAGCAGCTTAGGGTTTTGTTTACATCTAACAAGTAGTCTTTCTTGATGGTTAAGGTGACTGTTAAGGTTAACTGAGGGACAATGTGAAGTCAAACCTTCCCTCAAATACCTTTCCTATATGTTTCTCAAAAAGATAAGCTTACATTTAAAAAAAATGAATCAATGGCGAATGAATAAATGATGACTTGCTTTCTCATAGGCAGCCAAGAATACAATTCCTCAAGTCTCTGAGTTATATAACAAGGGGGAGGGGAGAACATAGTTTCCAAAGGGCCTCTATTCAATATTTAATGGATTTACTCATTCAATCATTATTTTATTTCATTCATTTGAAAAAAAACTACTATTTTCCAGGCATCATGCTACAGGCTAGGGATCAAATGCAAATATCATATAGTTGTATCCTTCAGAAATTTAAAACTGAGTGAAGGAGTCAGGTAATTTAATGTTTATAGCTTAAGTAGTTTAGCAGAAGAAGACACGAAATTCTAATTTCTGAACAGTATGGAGGATGAGGATTGGAGAAGGCAAAAGACAGAAGGCAGTATTTGAACTAGACAACATATAATAAATAGGTGATTGCTAGGTAAGGAGGAAGGGCTTTCCAAGAGAAGATGTCAAGCATCAAAGTTGTGGCTGGAAAGTAGATAGAAGTCCAGTAAGGTTAGAGCAGAGGGGTCATGAGTATGGAAGAGTGGCTGAGGGCGAAGATAGAAAACTAGGTGGGGTCACTGCATGAGGGGCCTCGAATACCAGTTTCAGTGTATACTGTTGATATTTGACGGGCGACATGGATTCATTAGGTGTTCTAAGCAGGAGAGTAACTGACAGTATACGCGCTCTTGCCTTCTGCATTCCTAACCTTTAGTGGCTCTCTCCTACCATGCTGGCTTCACTGCTCCTTTACTGCTCATGTTCCTCCTGATGTAGCCTCACTGTGGGTACTGCACAAGGTTTACTCTTACTTCTTTCTTTTTCCTGATGAATAATTCCTGCTTCCTAATCTACCTGTCAGCTCTCTGTTATTAACTCAAATCCTTATCATCTGCCTGCATCTTTTTTTTTTTTTTTTTTTTTTTGAAATGGAGTCTCGCTCTTATTGCCCAGGCTGGAGTTCAGTGGCCCATCTGGGCTCACTGCTACCTCCACCTCCTGGGTTCAAGCGATTCTCCTCCCTCAGCCTCTTGAGTAGCTGGGATTACAGGCACGTGCCACCACGCCTAGCTAATTTTGTATTTTTAGTAGAAACCATGTTTCTCCATGTTGGTCAGGCTGGTCTCGCACTCCCGACCTCAGGTGATCCGCCCACCTCAGCCTCCCAAAGTGCTGAGATTACAGGCATGAGCCACTGCGCCCGGCCATGTGTATCTTTTACTCATTTTCAGTCTATTTTTCTCATAACATATATGTCATCACCACTGGAATGTGTGATGGCTTTGGGATGTGTCAGCTTGGCTAGGCTGAACCACATTTCCCCGACTTTCCTTTCTAGTGTGTTTCTAGTTAGAGTTAGGCTACAAGAAACATTCTCTTTTGAGAGTTAGGGTGCAGGAGGGAGGCAGTGATGAAGACATGCACATTCTACCAGTGACTCAATCAAACTACCGTTTGAATTCTCCAGTAAGAGGAGATGTAAATAAAGCCCCAAATCAGTTGATTTTGAGTTCACCAAAAGAGAGATTATCCTTGGGTGCCTCACTTAATTAAGCAGAAGCCATTTAGAGAGGGACTAGGCCTTCCGTGAAAATCAGACACACCAACAGGCCAGCATGCTCCCCCTTCCCCTGGACCTTCCCTTCTTTTTGTGGACTTCAAGCATCAGCTGAAGCTCATGGGGCCTGCCTGCTTATGATAATCTCTTCCTGATGCCTGCTCTGTGGAATTCAGGCTTACCTAGCCAGACCTCACAATTGTGTGAGCTAATCTTACATAACAAGTAAATCCATATGTAAGTTTATATAATGTAAACAAAATATAAAATATACATATGTATACATACATATGTAAGTGTTAAGATATATAGATGTGATATATTGAGAGAGAGAGCTCCTACCAGTTCTATGCCTCTGATTGAACCCCAACTGATATAGAATATTCTACTCTCACTTTCAACTACTCACAATAAACTCATTATCCTTTTCCTCATTCTATACCAAAACCAACTCCCTTTTTCATATAATTCATGATACAATCTTTTCCAGAATTTGAAAAAAAAAGAAAGACGTTTCTTTCCTCTCATCTGTAGTATCCAGTAATCCCTAATTCCACACAGTTTTCCTTTAAGGTCTCTCCCTTCTATTCCAAACCAGTTTTCCCTTTTCTCACGCTGTGATGATTTTCCTTCTTCCTAAAGCTTTTCCCTGTCTCAATTCTCACCCTCTTTTAATGCAGTCTCTATGGAAAGACCTTTTTACATCTCCCTACATACTGCTCTATTTAAAAATGATCATACTATTGCCTACAAGTTAAAATCTTCAGTTGTTTTTGTCTGTTTTTAAGATAGCATTTAAGGCTTAACAAAATATTATTTCATAATTAATATAGAATAGTAGTCATAATACAATAAGCAATTCTATGTAAGGCACTCTGAGAAGTGGTTTTCACAAGTTATCGTCTTTAATTCTCACTATAATCCCATGAGACACGTACAATTATCCCCAATTTATAAGTGACAACATTGAGGCAGAGAGAGGTTAATTCATTCCCCAATTTATACATCCAGTAAGTGGTATATCTGGGTTTTGAATCTGAGCCATCAGATCCTAGAGCCCACCAATCTCATGATTCCTGATTTGAGTTCCACACTCTCAACTGACCTGGACTCTCACTGTTCTTGAATATAATTCTCATTTTCTAACCTGCTTATGTAATTTATCTCTCAAGGGACATACTTCCTCCCTGCTCTCTCACTATCCAACACCTGGGCTGGATTCAAGTCCTACCTTCATTCACCCATATCATAAGCCATGCACATTTCTCTCTCTCTTCATGACTTACTGCATTTACTGTTGTTTAACTGGTTGATTTGAATATCCCAACTCTCCACTTAGTCTGTACAGCACCATGTTTATGTTACTTCTATACAGCTAAGAAGCCCCCTCTCCCACAAATAGATGTTATTAGTACAGTTTTGAAGGAAGAAACAAACACACATAAACACTGTTATCTCTGGAACATGAACGTCAGATTTTTCAGATATATACCAGATAATTTGGGTTTCACTAATTTTTAGCGTAAACATTGAAAACTTCCTCAAGACAAGGCAAAAGCAGCATTCATTCTTTTAATTCAATGGTATCTAACCATGTGTGTTCTGACTAATTTGATAGGTTTATGAAAGTGCTGGAGATAAAAATGCAAAAATTCCCTAAGTGTGACAGACTTATTAGTGGGGTCCTTGCTGAACAATTTCATAGTCTTCACCCTTTGAAAATCATTTCAATCCAAAGAGGTTTGGGGGTATATTCGTGACCTTTTTCCAGCTTTTTACATTCCTCTGTGTGTGTTTGGTCTCCATTGAGATTTGATAAGAATTGTGTAGAGAGCGAAAGGAACATCGTCCCTGCCAGAAAAGCAATGTGCTAGGATAAATCTGTCCCAACTTTTTACAAATGTTAGTTGACTGACTATTGTTTCTACTGGTGTTAGTTGACTACAAATGTTAGTCAAATGAATATTGTTTCTCCTGGTTCTTTGTACATTCTTCCATTAAAGTATTTATCAAAATACCATTGGTTGTTTATACCTCTCTCTTTGAAGGACCACGTGTCTTTACTTATTTACTTTTAAGACAAGGTCTCACTCTGTTGCCCAGGCTGAAGTGCAGTAGTGCAATCGTGGCTCACTGCAGCCTCAAACTCCTGTGCTCAAGCAGTCCTTCCCACCTCAGCTTCCCAAGTAACTGGGACTACAGGTGTGTGTCATCATGCCCAGCTAATTTTTTTTTATTTTCTGTAGAGATGGGGGCCTCACTATGTTGCCAAGGCTGGTCTCAAATTCTGAGACTCAAGGGATCTTTCCACCTTGGCCTCCCAAAGTGCTGGATTATATGCATGAACCACCATGCCTGGCCAGAACCATGTGTGTTAATAATTTTTTTTAATGTCTAGCACACTCCCTCCAAAATGATTGCTAAGTGAATTAAAGGTGAAGAAAAAGAACTGTTTGATTAAATGTTCTACCTAAGCATAATAATCACTGATTTACAAGGTCAAGGTGTGAGTTTTTTCCTCACTCTTTTTTAATTCCTCAATTACAGGTATTCCCTTGTACCACTCAATGAGAAATGTTCTTTTGATTTGAGCAATGTAAAAGAGATCCTTCTGGTAAAGGAACTGTCCTGTATCTTGACTCAAGTGATAGAGACACAAACCTATGCATGTGATAGAATTACATAGGAGTAAATATACAAATGAGTATGAGTATAGGTAAGCTAGGGAAGTCTGAATATCTAGATAAGATCAATGGGTTGTGTCAATGCCAATATCCTGGTTGATATTTAATTGTGGTTTTGCACAGAACTTTTGCGAGTTGGGGCAAACTAGGTAAAGGGAATGTGGAAATTCTTTATATTATTTCTTACAATAGCTTGTGAGTCTACAATTGTCTCAAAACCATTAAAATAAAATGACAATTTATTTACTTACAAGAGGTTTCATAATGCCTTGGGATTGTGAGACAACTGAACATTAAGGGTGATTAATCAATGACACTGTTAACCCTTCAAAATCTCTTTTGGATATACAACTTGTACCCTAAAACTTAAAGTATAATTAAAAAAAAAAATCAAAAAAAAAAAAAAAAGATTTCCCAAAACCCAAAGTGACACAGAGAAAAAGATATGATAAAATGGCCCTTGGCTGGAATTTGCCTTGGAGCTACTTTCTGCTTTCTCTCCTCTAATATTTGCCACAGTGGCGTTGTTGCATACCATGAGGAAAATTGGATAGCAGGACATTCAAACATATTTCTGCATTCATTTTTTATAAGGCTATAGAGATATTACTGAAGTTTCCTTTTGTCTTTTGTCAACTAATAAGAAATATGTTTCCAAATCAGATGCTAAAATTCCAGGAAAATGTTTGATTCATGGTGGTGTTGGTTCATTTCCCTGTATAGTAATAATAATGTAATAGTAATAGTACTAATACTTGTTGTTTGTGTGGTTAATGTTGTCACTGTACTAGGGGCTTTCCACAGTCCAGAACCTGGTCAAAGCATTTGCTATTCAAATAAACTATTTTCCTGTGAATTGTCTTCAGTACCATGGAAACGCTATTACAGCCCCTCTAAACTGGGAATGGCTGGCATAGGAGCAGCCCCAGGAGGGTAAGGTCAGGACCACGCAGATGTGACTGCTGCTCTGCTCGCCCTGCAGTGATAAGAGCACAGCTGTGGGAAAGCCAGAGCATCTGTTGTGAGTCACCAAGTGCAAACAGGATGATAACAGAGTTAGGATCAGAAAACAACATACCTTCTGAGACACAGAAGGCAGCACACCACAGAACACTGGCTCCTTTCTACAGAAAAAGGAAACCAAGCAATGTTCCTTCAGCAAGTTGGCCTGTGCTCATGTGTCTGTTTCCTTCTGTTGGGTCTAGTTGGTCCCTATCAAAACAGAACCCCTTTCCTCTGAATTTGAGCTGACTTGAAGATAGGCTGGATGCCACTTACAGCATCTGTGGGGACTCCAGAAAGAGACTCCCTTCCTTTCCCTATAGCACTCCATATATGGCTATGGCATCCAGCCTTAAGGGATTGTGGTTAAGAGCAGATGCTGGCTTTCCTGGAATGGACACTGGCCATCGTTACTCATGAATCAAGCCTTCCTCTCTTAAGGGTGCTGGTCTTTTCTATATATAGATTGTTTAACTGGGGCTACATTTATCCCCTAGAAAAGGAGAGTTGCATATATAACAGTACGGATTTTTCCTGAATTGACCCCTAACTTACTAAGCTTCGGAACAAGCAATCTATTTTTCATGACTTAATTTTATAAAATTTACACATATATACATACACACACACATACGTGTTTTCACATATAACTCCATATATTTTAATACTATTTTTTCCTTCCCCACTACATTCCTACAAACATTTTTCTCCTTTTTTCAACTTAATTCGATGACATATCCCACTGGCTTCTCTTTATGTCCCTTCTTCTGTATCATTCACACCTGTTCATCCTCTGCCTTATGTATTACTACATTCAAACTTCTTACTAACACATTGTATAATACTTTTAGTCACATTTGCTTGCACACCTTCACTCTCACCCAACTTCTCTTTCACACATACACACACACACACACACACACATCACACATCACACATACACACTCACATGTACTCTCCAGATCCCAGTCTGCTCTTGGTTCCTCGAGCTGGCCTTGACAGTCTCCAGCTAGTGTAGCCACTGATTTTTTGCTACCAATAGCCACAAGCATAAAACAAAAATGGGCTGGGGCTAGATGGAACTAGGCAGTCGTGGGGCAAGCTGGCAGAACACTGAGGGGAAAGATGGTTCTAAAACCTCTCCAGCTGGGGCTGAGAAGTGCTGGCGCAGCAGGAGAGAGTGGGAAAGCCTGTCTAAGGTCAGCAGCCTGACCTGGCAATCAGGACACTGAAAGCCACAGACAAGGTGTGGGTGGGTGGGCAGAGCGGGGGGTGCACAGGGGTATTGGAATTGAAAAGAAGCTGAAGTAAGAAAAGTTAGAAATGATCATGAATTGATTACTTATTACCAGTTAGGCACTGGGCTCTACATTTTCAGATATTTACTGTTTACTTTTTACTGCAAACATGTGAAGGAGATGATCATTATTTTGCAGATGAAGTTCAAAGAGTGTAATATTTAACCAGCTCTGTATAGAGAAAGTAGAGGATTCGGGTGCACTCCTGAAGCAGTGATTTGAATATATTTGTTTTCATTTGGGATACTCTTGCTCTCATTCACATGTTATGGGCTGGCTATGGTGAGAAAAGAGAAGCTCTGGGTGTTGGCATTAGGAGATGGTGTTCAGCTTCAGGAGAAGCTGCCCAGGCCTCTGAAGAACAGACACTGGAAACCAGAGGCAGAGCAAATACCCCTACTTCTTAAGCAAGGATTGCTGGTTTTTGCCCTGCCTTTCGCATACATACTTCCCAAAGGGCAAAGCACTGCTTTAAAAAACAAATAAACGAAAACAAAAGACTTTGAGACAAGGTTTTATTCTATGCTTAGTCCTGACTTCTAGAGGTTGCCATGACCCAGCGGTTGGAATTGGGATGTGCGGAGTGGCACTGAGATGGTAATATGAAGGAAAGGGTGGATTAATGTCTAAGTTCCTGTGGTAAAGATACAAACACCACATTGAAGCTATCATTAGCAAAACTCCAACTCAATCGGTAGAAACTTACAATTTGCCCATATGATGTCAAATAATTGACTCAAATTGTTATACACTTAAATCTACCAATGAAAACCATTGTTCTTGTATCAAAAATAACTCTGCGGACTGGGTGGGGTGGCCCACACCTGTAATCCCAGCTCTTTGGGAGGCTGAGGTGGGAAGAGCATCTGAGCCCAGGAGTTCAAGACCAACCTGGGAGACAAAGCAAGACCCCCCCCATCTCTACAAATAAAAAGTTAGCTGGCATGATGGCATGTACCTGTGTCCTAGCTACTTGGGAAGCTGAGGCAGGAGAGTTTCCGGAACCCAGGAATTCAAGGATGCAGTGAGCTATGATGGTACCACTGCACTCCAGGTTGGGCAAAAGAGTGAGACCTTGTCTACAAACAAACAAACAAATGAAATCTCCATGATTCAGAAGTGATATGGTTTGGATCTGTGTTCCCACCCAACTCTCATGTAATTGTAATTCTCAGCATTGAAGATGGGACCTGGTGGGAGGTGACTAAATCATGGGGGAGATTTCTCATGGTTTAACACCAGACCTCTTGGTACTGTTGTGGTGACAGTGAGTTCTCCCCCTCCTTCCTCCTGCTCTGCCAGCCATGTAAGATGTATCTACTCCCCCTTCACTTTCCACCATGATTGTCAGTTTCCTGAGGCCTTCCCAGAAGCAGAAGCTACTATACTTCCTGTACAGCCTGTGCAATTGTGAGCCAGTTAGATCTCTTTTTATTATAAGTTACCCAGTTTCAGGTATTTCTTTATAGCAATGCAAGAATGGACTTTGAACTGGATGCAGCAGCAGGACAGAGCTTTGTGTTGTCTCCCTTGGGACAAGAATGAGTGTGTTTTATGTATGGGAAGAGTTGGTGTATGGTGAACGAGAAGAGCAGACTATGTAAGAGACTGCTTTGTGTCCGCCAAAATGGTCCTTTTCTTTGAAGGCCCACAGGTAGGCTACAACTGAATTCCAATTAATAGAATTGTGACCGTCAAGCACATTCCCCTCCAGTGTGACAAAGATGAACACCGTGACCTTGGAGGTCATGGCTAAAGTGGGACAGGTCACAAGATAGATAGAAAGAGCCAAGGTCTCAAGTCACTATCTGAAAAAGAGCCTTCCATCAATTGAAAACTCTTGTTTTTTATTTCACTTGAGTGAAATATTAACTTCTATCATATTTGAGCCATTTTTTGTAGTGGTTACATCTGTATGTTTTATGTCAGACAGGTAAATATAGAAACTAAGCTCTCAAGTATGATATGAGTACTGGAAATTTGAAGTGTACAGAAGGCAGACTACCAATGACATAGCTAACTAGTTTTATGGATTTCTATTCTCATCCAGATGAGTGATCCTACCTCATCTGGGATCTAGGTCAGGAGACTGTTACTTAAGGCTTCGGAGCATTTGTTGCTGCTTTCTATATTCTTGTGCTTATGGATATTGATGTGATTTGAACACACAGAAATAGAAAAATGTGATCAAAACTCCTCTAGGATGCACAGCTCGCCCTCCTTAGGAAATCACAGCTCTTGGAGGCCATAGCCAGTTCTTTGGCAGCTGTGATCTTCTGTGTTCCTGGGCCACATACGTTGGAGAGATTCTGTCCCCAGTAGGCCTCGGATTGAAAAACAAATGCAGATTTGTTCTGCATTTTTAGAAAATGCTCCTCTTTTCCACATTTTTTTTTTCAAGTTGAGGCCTCCTGGGGAGGAAATCGGCAAAGGACCCACTTCTGCCTAAACTTGACTAGAGCTGTCCAGAACAAATGCAAAGTAAGCCACATATGCAGTCTTAAATTTCATAGTAGTAACATTTAAAAAGTGAATAGGTGAAATTAATTTTAATAACATATTATATTTAACCCAGTGCATTCAAAATATTACCATTTCTACATGTAATCAATATATTATTAATGAGAAATTTTTACCTTTTCATACTAAGCCTTTGAAATCCAGAGTCTCTTTTACGCTAAAGCACATCTCAGTTCAAAACAACCACATTACTAGTGCTCAATGTTATGTGGCTACTGTATTGGACGGCACAGGCCTAGATGTCAGCTCTTTTCTGGGGTCAGTAGCACATTCCTCTAGGTTATTGCTGCCCAGAGTTTGTGAATTTTTTTTTAATGGCACCTGCTGCTCTAAGAGGAATGATCATTAATCACAGCACATGTTGTGAGCTAAAAAGAAATAAAATTTCCTCTAGGGATTTACATTTTTCTCTAGAGATTCTCATGCTCTGGGGCATCAGAATGAAACAACCAAAATCAGTGAGTTAACCCATCTTCACTATCTTCACCATCATATTCTCAAGCTATTTCTTCCTTCAGATTTCCATTTGGATTGGAAAAGAACTCTCTCTCCCTGTGTCGCTTTCCCTGTGGGGATGTGTGTAGTGTGTGTGTGTGTGCGCACGCAGGTGTGTGCGTGTCGGGATGTGTGTGACTTTTCCGGGCATTTTAAACGCAATTTCTGCAAGGAAGTTGGGAGGCTAGCACAGCATGGTTAGACAATATTTGGTATCAAATATTCTAGCTATGCCCACCTAACTGCTATGTGGCTTCAGGCAACTTTTCTGAGTATCTGTTTTTTTCAGCTCTAAACTGGGGAAATTGACATAATTTTGTAAGAATTTAGTGAGGAATGACATGTGAACTATCCATGATGGGCCTGGTACAATGTATGTCACAGATCATAAAGGATCTTACATGATATACAAAGGAGTTTCAGTTTTATCTTGCAGGGAACAGGAAGCCAGTGAAGACTAAAAATGAAAGATGATTTGATCATATTTTCCATTTAAAAGGCATTTCTTGCTGGGAAGAAAACTGAATTTTTTTTCTTATAGTCAAGCTTTGTCCCAGAAATAAAGTGTTTGCTTACAAATCTTTCAAATCTTTTCTTTGCGTGGAAAAGGAAAGAATCTTGGCTAAGCTTTAAACTGGATTTTTCTGCATACCCGGAGGTATCTTTGAATGAATAGATTTAACATCCCATTAGACACTTCTACCTCTTGCATGTAGGAATTTGAACTGTCCTTAGGAAGATATACACAACAATATTACAGGCATGATTTAGAAAATAATTTATTACTATCTTAGTGGGTTTTAATATATCATCCTGGGCCTCTTTAATGAGTCACATTATGACCCTCAGACCAGATGGTTCTAGACTAGATGATTCTAATTCCCTTGTCATCTTAGTCTCTCTAGGAATCAGTGGAGATTAAATTGAAAGATAATTGAAAAAAAATCTAAACTGATAACTGAAAGATAGCAATCAAACAGATTCATTTTCAGAATGATTGTGTAAAGACAGTGCCAGCTGAAATTTTCACTTGTATTTCAGCAAAACTCACAATAATTGAGCGTATTTCCTCATTTGGAGGAGCTTATTCTTTTTAACATCTTAACCTTAGAGAAACTACAATCTTCAATGGCAAACGTCAAAAAGTATTAGGGGAATCTGACTGTGGATCTACTCTACACTGCTTTTCCCATGCCTAAAACTGACAGTATAAAAATTCTACGCAATTTATTGACCTTTATAGGTACAGAGTGTATTTGAATTTAGGGGAGAAAAATAAAATATAATAATGTCACTCAATTTGACTATAGCTGGTGAGATAGCCCTCATTCAGCAAACTTCTATAGACTAATTAAGAACCTGCTGCATAATGATAAATATGAGTATACAAGGTATAGCATTTATAACTTGTGTGCTTAAACCAATTAGGTAAATGTAATTGAATCTTAGAAAACATTATTCAAATCTGAAGTGTCTGTCCATGGAAAACCAATGAACCCCAGCCAAGATGGATGAGGGCCAAGATGGCAAGAGTAATTTTATCCATACAAATTGAGATTAAGTATGCGAAAGAAATTTGAAAGTATAAAGCATTATTTCAATTTGAGGAGTTATTATTAAATAACTCCTTTAATGACAGTACCTTGCAATGAATGCTTTCTTTTGGGAGAAGATATGAATCATCTGACCTTTCACTTAGTAAACTTTAGCAGAATCTCAGAGTTGGCCAGATCTGAGAAGCCACAGTCCATCATAAAATTCTATCATTTGTCTTATAATAATGAAGACTCTTCCTCTGTTCTTTTTAGTCAATCAGATATATATATATATACATATATGTATATTTAAAGCCTCAGAACTCAAACTCTTTAAGAAAGTGAGAGAACTCATTCTACTGCAGTTTATCCTTAAAAAATAACTTGATATTGTTCCAAGAACAGAAATTTGTGTGTATTAAAAGAGATAGCTTACAGAAAACAATGATTTTGTTTGCCAACATTGTGCACAAGGAATTTGTTGTTTATGACCAATAAAGGCTTATAAAATGTCTTAATATACTTTCTGAAAATAGGATTTCTGGTGGAGTCATCATGCTGTCTTGACTCCCAAAACTTCTTCCCAATGTGTATATAATTCGTCTTCATACAAACCAATCCCAGGCCTCTTTGCCTAGAGCCTAAAAGAAATTATTCTGGATCTAAAATAATTTGGGTTTATTCAAAATGGAAATTACTAAAAAATTCTTTGCATAATGATGCCTATTGCCAATAATTAATTCATTAAAACTCTAAATTTCTATGTACAAGATGCTATCCTTGACACCAAAAATTCACACCCACACATATGTAATATATTAGATGAATAAGATATTACATATTTAATTATATAATATATAACCACACACACATACACACACACATGTATATATGTCTTCCAAGCCATTTCATCCTAGCTAAGGGATAAAAACAGAGAAACAATAGTTATACACTAGTATTTCCATGGTGCTGACCCCTAACAGTTTTGTGGGCACTCCAAACCCCTCTCGAACTCCTCCCAGACTGTTCTAGGAGTCCTAAAGAGTGCCTAGCATGTGCTTTGTGCACTGAGCATCTGGGCTGCCATGCGATGTCTCTTCTCCTTCTCTCCAGATCCAAGCCAAGGAGCTAGAGCTCTCTATCTCCATCTGTGCCTAAGGCCTCGACAGAGGCTGCCAGTGCTCAGTGTTGGGGAAGGCACCTGCAGATTCTCACACTCATATTACCAAAACCTGGAACTCTCAATATCCTTAAGAGATTTCAGCAAAACAACCCTTTTTCGTTTTAGAGTGCTCTTATTTTTTAAGCCAAATGTTATTCTAAGCAAAAGCCTAGAGGGGCTGAAAGTCTGGTGGTACCATTACAGTGTTCAGGATTATCCACAGTTCTTGTCATGAAATTGGTGTATCTTAGTTTCCTCTTCTCATAGAGCAAGTTCTCTCCTGAGGGAATTCTTGGTCACTGAAGCAAACAGAGAGCTGAAGAGCTTATGCCATTCCTCTCTAGGGAGGCCTGATTTCTAAGGAAAGCACAGCTCAGGCTCAAGTTTAGGCCTCATTAATAGTACAACTCTGCCTGCCTTCAAAGGCCATACAGCCTAGGTGTGATAGACACACAGGCTGACCATTTATTCCAATGTACTGTGCTGAGTGATACAGTGGAAGAATATTTTAAGAGACACTTAGCCAAATTTGAAAATTCTCAATGGACCTTCTGAGAGATATGATGCCCAATTTAAAGCTTGAACATGAACACATTATATATTTTTTCTATTTTCAATGATGCCAAATTCTCCCCTCCCAATCAAGATAAATTAGAGAAATGTGAGAAATCAAAATAGAGCCCCAGAGCCACTGGGCTCTAGTTTTTGGAAATGGGAGGCACAGAATGGCCTGAGAAAGGCTCACTTTAGAACAAACTTCTAGTCGCTGCTGTGGAGACAATGACCTTAACCCTTTAGCTGAACAGCCCAGACTTACATTGAAACACAGGGACCTCGCTGGGCCCCTGGAACACTGTTGAGACGGATGCTCACACAATGTTTGGGGCTTGGTTAGTAGGGCCTCTGTGGGTGAAGAGCAAGGAGAAGCAACAGGAATGCCACATAGTTTCTCACCCTACCTAATTTGTGAATAAACCTCAAGCCACATATTTTCTACAAGATATATTAGCCAAGTTTGTCTCTGCTCATACTATTTCCCCAAGAATCAACTCAACAATTGACTCTACAGTTAGCAATGAACTCACAGCCCAAGCGGTTTTATTTTTGAAATGTGGGAACCCTTTATAGTTTTCTAAACTATAAAAGAAATATATGGCCTAAATGAGATAATTACTTATATTTTTCTTGAGCTGATATTTATTTTGGACTTTAGCTAATTAAAAATATAATATGACCCACTGAAATGTAGCTAATTTTTATCATAAAACCATTGACTACTTTCATATTTTCCCATGAGCAATTCTAAAGTGAGTCTTCTCAAACATTTTGCCTGCCAGGAGGGTTAGACTGAGTGTGAGTTCCAACCACACAGGGTTGACGAGGAGTGCTTTACAGAGGTGTGGAACACAGCCTCAGTATAGGCATTAAGATATGGCACTCTCTCCAAAACTCCATGTGAAACGCTTTGTGGCGGAGACTCTTCAGAGGCAAAACTATGAAGCCTTGAAAGCAGAAAATGAGGCATCTCTGACCCCTTTGTACATCCCAAAACCAAGCTTTGCCCCATGTCCATTCGGGTTTTGATTCTTGTTTTTTAACCCTTTTTCAATCACATGGACACAAACACATAGATGTGCATATTTACACTCAAAAAGAGCCTGGCAGAGCAGTGAACAGTGTCTGGTCTCTGCTTTTCTGTTAGAAAAAAGCCTTATAGACATGAAAACAGTATGAAACTTCCTCAAAAAATTAAAAATAGAACTACGATTTGATCCAGCAACCCCACTTCTGGATATATATCCAAAAGAATTAAAATCAAGATCTCAAAGAGATGTTAGCATTCCCATGTTTACTGCTGCATTATTCGCGATAGCCAAGATATGGAAACAACCTAAGTGTCCTTTGATCAGTGAATAAAGGAAATGTGGTATATACAGTAGAATACTCTTCAGCCTTAAAAAGAAAGAAATCCTGCTATTTGTGACAACATGGATAAACCTTGAGGACATCAGGCTAAGTGAAATAAGCCACGCATAGAAAGACAAATACTGAATAATCTCATTGATAGGTGGAATCTAAAAAAGTTGAATCCAGAAGCGGAGAGTAGAACAGTCGTTGCCAGGGGCTAAAGGTTGGGGGAAAAGCAGGAATGTTGGTCCAAAAGTACAAACTTTCAATTATAAGATGAATAAGATCTGGGGATCTAATGTGCAGCATGGTGACTATAGTTCGTAAGACTCTACCGCACACTTGAAATTTGCTAAGAGAGTAGACCTTATTTTTTTCTCACCACAAAAAACCTAATCATATGAGGTGATGAATGTGTTAATGATGTGGTCATCATTTTACAAGGTATACGTATACCAAATAATCACATTGTACTCCCTAAATATGTGACGTTTTTGTCAATTATACATCAATAAAGCTGGGGTGGGGGTGGGGAAGAAAAGAAGCAGGCAGAGAAAACTCAGCTTATGAAACAGCATATAGAGAAGTCACTGTGTCAGCTGCCTCGGCCTCCTGGAAGTATTGTCATTGCCCAGAAGAAGGTCCAGGAAAATGAGAAATAAGAAGGACCCCACAAATGCTCTCTTTCTTATCTTTTTCTTTTGCAAGATCATCACTCTCAGTGTTGCAAACCAAAGTATGGTTTGAGGTGAACTGCCCATCTGTTACTCACCTCCTGTCAGCTGTCACCCAGCTCACTGATTGGAAAGAACACTAGGGCATTGGGTCTAAATTGGCCAAGGGGTAGGGAACATGGAGCAGTCATAAATGGAAAGTGTTCAGGCTCAAAACAAGTTGCTAGGGGGAACCATACAGGAATCTGTGTGAGGCAGCTTGAAAATGTTTACATAAAATGCAGCAAAAGTGGGAGAGAAGAAAGCCAAATAAATCCATGCCCACAGATGTCCTCACATTTGAAGAGGGATTTTTTAGCAATTAAAAGTTTAGCAAGTGTTTGGGAGCCAGGAGTGGGAAGTTTTGGAGTCCCAATTAGGAGATAGATATAAAGTACTTCCAATCTGGAGACTGAAAAATCAGAAATAAAAAAAGGTGGTGGAGTAGTTTCAGAAAAGAGATTTTAAGGTTATTTCTAATAAAAGCCAATTAAAACAAAGCATAGCAACAACAAATTGTTCAAGACCCTTTGACTTTGTTGATTTCCTAAAATTTTATCTCTGAAATGAAAGGGTAGGTCTTTTGCTTTCTTGACTTTTTCCCCAAATAAAGAAACAAATATATATATTAGAGAAATATATGAGAGAGAAAATGTGTTTGGAGAACGTTTTTCAAAACAGGACAAGGGAATAGAAAACTCTCTCCTTATAAGTTGCTCTCAGGAAATGTTACCTTAGTATTTGCTATTTTAGTTACTTTAATCAACTGATATCTTTTTTAAAGTTCTGGATTAGAATAATTATTATAATGAGTAAAACTTAGAGTGCTTACTATAACTGTAAAAAAGATATAGAGAGTAGGTACCATTTTGGTCCTACTTCACACAGAGGGAACTTAGGTTAATAACATTAAAACAGTAGCTAGAGCTTGAACCCTGGTCTTTCTCATAGCAAAGTCACACAATTAACCATGAGTGTAAATTTTCAAACTCCACACCTCTTAGTTTCATGTGAGCTGTCCTTAATTCCCATAGCCACAACGTATTTAAATTTCAGAGAACACAACGATAGTTTTCACTGAAATTGCAAAACCATTATCCTACAGGAGACAACGTTCTAAAGGTTCAAGGCATTAGCTGCTAGAAGTGATGTGCATTGAGCGATGGGCGGGACACTATGTCAACCAAGCAAAGGCCATTCTCTTGATTCATACACTTTGCTTCTGTTTGATAATACCTACAACCTTCATTCCAGGGCCTGACACAGTGTGGGCCAAATGATATACACAAAATACACATTTTGTATTCAGTTGATATTTTTGAACTGAAAATAATATCTTCCATCAATCTCTGCTCAGGTGTCACTTGAGCTCCAAGAAGCTGTCTGCACTAGCCATGCCAGTCATGCCTGTCTCCAACCAGCCTGACTCCTTTCCTGTTGCCCCTTCACTAGTTCTGATTTCTCTCATGAAATTTAACTAAGGATTACATAAAATCTGCATAAGTCAAATGCTCTGGAAGATGGAAATTTCTATGCATGTATAAAGCGTTATTGTTATAATTGTACATGTTGCGGCATCCCAGGCAGTAATGCTTGTGAGTTTACATTTGTATGTAACATGCTCTGAGGCTGTACTGTGGGCCAAACAAAAAATATTTGATTTAATCTCACAACAACCTTTATAAGTGGCTGTTAACATTGCCCTGCTTTTACCAGTGAGGAATCTGAGGAGTAGAGAGGTTGTATATATTGAGCCAACACTCATAGTGAGGGACTGGCTCACCCAGAATTCAAACTCATCTCTGTCTGACCTTGAAGCTTACACTCTGAACCATTTTTTAAAACAGTCTCTATATATTAGTTTCCTATTTCTGCTATAACAAATCACCACAAACTTCGTGGCTTAAAAACAACACAAATTGATTATCTTACAGTTGTGGAAGTCAGAAGTGTGAAATGAGTCTTACGAAACTAAAATAAGAATTTGTTCTCTCTGGAGGCTCTATGGGAAACTCTGTCCCTTGTCTTTTTCACTTTCTAGAAGCCACTCACATTCTGGACTCTTGGTCACATCATCCTAACTTCTACTTTGGTTGCTGACTCTTCTCTAGCTCTGACCCTCCTGCCTCCCTCTTATGGAGAGCTTTGTGATTTCTTTGGGATGAATAATCTAGGATAATCTTCACATCTCAACATCCTTATTTAATCACACTTGCAAAGTTTCTTTTGTCATGTAAAATAACATATTCACAGATCCTGGGAATTACCATGCAGATGTCTTTGGGGGACCATTATTCAATTACACACTAAGAAATGCCTTATTTTTTTGTGGGGGGCGCTGGGGGAATCGTTTAACATATAGGTGTGTCTTTGCGTTTCCTTCACTACTATGATTTAAGCTCATTGAGAAAAGAGACTGTCATCTCACAGCTGGCTGTAGCTCTCTGACAGAGCCTGCTGCCTGTGTGCTCCCATCTGCAGGGTGTGAATTCAAGAGATCTCTCCCTTAGCTCTGACCTCTCAATCCCCAACTACTCCACAGAAAAAGAAACTGCCCCCCAACCATTATTGGAGGAAAAGCTTATTATTCCATCATCGGAAATGAAGCTAAAAATATAAATAGTATCGGAAGCTATAACATTGACCTCAGAATTAGACAAATTAGCAAAAATATCAAACCAGTTCTGATGGTGAAAGAAAAGAGCCCTGGTTGACTGAAGAGGCCAAAGGAAGGAGTACGGAACACAGGAAAATGATAATGAGAATTGGGACACTCAAAATAAAATTTTCTTTCTTCACAATTTTGCCAAAGTTCAGGCCTACTGTAAATAAAATTCTGGTAATCATTAGTATTGTTCACCGATATTTTCAGTTCCTTTTCTTTCTGGCACGTAAGATTGCTATTTCCAAATCCTTGCAGTTATATGTGGCTAAGGGACATCTAAGACAAGCAGAGGTACAACATGACTGAAGCGATATGTGTCACATCCGGGTGGAGGCCTTGGAGAGCGGGTGCCACATTCCCAGACACTTCCAGAGTAACTGACAATGCCTGACACCATGGAGCCTCCGTGAGCCTGTGCACCTGAGGATTAGGACATGGGGAAGGGCCTCCAGTTGACCCGTGATGGTCATAAAGCATCAGTAAGGAATAAGCCCTTGTTGTTAATAACCAATCATATATGTGGGTTTACTATATTGCAGCTAATAGAGTCTCTCCTGAGTGATGTAAAAATCTAGTTCTTTTCTGGACACAATGACTATTGAAGGAGAAAAATAAGGAAAGGGAAGGGTGGTTGGATATCATTTAGTGGCAATAGATGTTTTCTCAAACTTCCCCTAAGAACATTGCATTAAATGAAAACGAGCACTCTTCTGGAAACCTGAAAGTATAATGTAACAAGGATATACAAGGGCTTTATAAATTGTGAATCATTTTGCAAATGCTAGCTAAAACAATATTTATTTATCATCCACAACTGCAGCCAAGATTACATGTTTTCTCATTTTGTAAGTCCATAATATTTACCTAGCTCTCACTAAAGAAATACTTAATCACACTGTATGTGGACAATTCAAAAGATCAGAGACAACTCTTCTAATTTATGTGTCAAAACAAATATCCCCAAGAAAGACTAAGGCCACTTGATAGACTATGTACAATTCAAGATGAATGCTTCTTTGCTATTTTTTTTTTTTTTTTTTTTTTTGGAACAGGATCTTGTTTTGTCATCCAGGCTGGAGTGCAGTGGCACAGTCACAACTCACTGCAGCTTCAACCACATTGGCTCAAGTGATCCTCCCACCATCAGCCTTTTTGGTAGGTGGGACTATAAGCACATGCTACCATGCCCAGTCAAGTTTTTAATTTCTTTGTAGAGACAGAGATCTCACTATGTTGCCCAAGCTGATCTCAAACTCATGAGCTCAAGTGATCCTCCCATCTTGGCCCCCAAAGTGTTGGGATTACAGGCGTGAGCCACTGCTCCTGGCCTTGCTACTCTTTTTATTATTCACAACCTCTAGAAATAGTATAGGAGATCCAAGCACTAGTCTCCCGTTGTCATGGATACAGAAAGTGGAGAAGAGAGCAGGATAAGTGGCTTGTTTGGGACTAGACAAGGCTGTCACTAAATGACTCACTACTTCAGCCCTTTGCTCCTCTTGGCACCTGGACCAGCAAAGGCACACATATTCTGTAATTGTTTTGTTCCTGCCAAACCTGTTACAAGGAATAAACTTAGAGCACCCAGAAGTTTAGCAACATATTATCATCTTGGAATGTGACATTATTAAACCCTCCTAATCCCCATGTCTACAAAATTAAGAAATCCAGAGCATGTTTTCTAAATGGAAATGGAAGCGTATACAGGCTTAATCACAAAGAGTTAATTTTTAAGCCCTTAAAATTAGAGAAATGACAATGACAATATAAATTCTTATTTTTACCACTTCTGGGGTGAAGCTTGTTTGGAGAAGCTAGCACTGGTTAGAAAGAATAGCCATGTCAGACTGAGGAAATCACAGCTCTCACCTGTAGTTACTGGCAAAACAAAGTCTGGACTTTGTCTCTAGTGGCAGAGGTTGGAACTTGATCTCTTAGCTTCTAGTCAGTTCTATTGCCACCAAACAAGGAATAAGCAAGATTTCCTTCTCTGGATTGCCTTTGGGATTGACTATCTGTTCATCCTGTTTAGTGAGTCTCCTCTATAAGGAGTCTTCAGGGTTCCAGGCACTCTGAGGGCTGTTTCTCACTCCAGGGCCCCTCTACTGGAGGGCACAAACTGTGGGCCACATACAAGGTACAGCCACACCCCAGGGTGCTGTCAGAGTCCAGCACTCACAAGTTTACAATGGTTACCCACTTGGTTTCACCTCAGGTCACTGTTACTTTCTTTTAGCCACCTATTCTTTAGAAGACAAGTTCCCTTCCTGATTTCTGACCATTCTCTTCTTGACAGGGTCAACTTCCATAGTGCCACCTACCTTCCTCCTTTCCTGACCCAAGCTACTCTTTCCCAACTTTTCTCAGATCCTTTGTTGAAACAATTTTATTTTGCACTGTTACATTCCCTCGTGTGTCATGAGGGGTGCACTTCAAGTAAATGTCCACACTGACAAAGCAACTATATCTCTGTAACTAATTCCAGCCAAAAAGTTCTTCCTAAAAGGAGTATAATTAGGAAAGAAATTATGCACATAAACAACATTCCTTTCCTGGGATGGACTGATGATTGTTGGAAATATTTTATTAACTCATACCCTCCTTTATTCCCAAAAGGATTCAGGGCAGCATCTTTCCATGCCTTTTTTGGAGTGTAGGGTAACATATGCTGCTGTGGTCTGTGAAAAGAATGGGCAGCAGCCGGGTGCGGTGGCTCACGCTTATAATCCCAGCACTTTGGGAGGCCGAGGCGGGTGGATCACAAGGTCAGGAGATCAAGACCATCCTGGCTAACACAGTGAAACCCCGTCTCTACTAAAAATACAAAAAAAGTAGCCAGGCTTGGTGGCACATGCCTGTAGTCCCAGCTACTCGGGAGGCTGAAGCAGGAGAATCACTTGAATCCAGGAGGCAGAGGTTGCAGGGAGCCGAGATCATGCCACTGCACTCCAACCTGCATGATAGAGAAAGGCTCCGTCTCAAAAAAAAAAAAAAACAGAATGGGCAGCTCTTGCTTTAGTAAGGCTTCCATTCTTGTTTTAAGAAATAGCAAAGGGTTAATATTTAAACTCATAAAGCTCTTGAAACCTTGTGTAAGTAACCTTATCCTAGAAAAATGACCTGTATTTTAATTTATATTAGATGGGGAATTTTCACATGTAAACCTTCCCTAGGTAAGAAAAAGAAAAGGAAGATTCCCGAAAGACTCAGATAGAAGAGAGAGGGTAACCGTCAAAGAAAACACATCCTGTCTAGGATAATATGGGGTCTGGATCATCAAAATTGTCTGAATTTTTATTGCTTTCCCTGCCATTATGATTTGAAAAGGCTTGTTGAGATGTCCTCTCTACCAGATTGGATAAATCAATGTCCTTGGCTGGAATGTTCAAGCTCAGAGAGGCCAGGAACTCAGGTGTGTGACCTTCGACTTTTTAATAAATAGAAAGCAATGAAGACTGCCTGAGGTTACAGATCATTGAGATGAGTTTTAATTACCCTTTTGGGGAGACACAAGCCAAAGCGTTCAACAAAACTACAACCCATTGGCTCTCTCGAGTTTAGAACATTAATGTCTCATTTCCATAGCTCTCTCGGTCATCTCTTAAACACAATGTTTGAATTCCCAAGGTCATTTTGCCATGAATTTCTCCCAAACCCTTAAGAAAAGACAATATCAGCAGGGAAAGAGGCCAGTCCACTCTTTCAAGGAAGCAGTTTTCAGAGAAGTATCAAGACCCTTGTCAGCACTAGGAAGGATATGTGAATTTTTATGATTGCCTCTTTACTCTTTCCCACATGTGATCAATGACTAGAGGTGAAGTAAGTCCTTCTCAGGGTGGGACAAGAGGCATGTCTAAGGCTTGTTTCCTTATAATTTTGTCTTTCATTTACTTTCTGTAGTTCTGTGGCCAGCTCATAGGACTCCAGGGACCTTGAGACTGAAGCACATTCTACAAATAAAGTCAAATGCAGTGAGTAATCTGAGCTCAGTGCAGCTGAGAGGGCAGGGGTCAGGCCTGGAAGTCATCAGATGAAAAATCAGACCAAAAATTAAAATGAAAATATTGGCAGCTAGTGAAATACCAAAAAACGACAATTCCTTCATTTGGTCCTCCCTGCCTTTCCAGACCATGATCTCTCACGCTACATTCAAGTTCCAAGGAGATCCTTCTCTATGCAGAGATCATATAGGACCCTCAGGTGCTTGCGAGAGCATATGGTATGTTCTTTGCCCCTGGGAACGTTCTCTTTTGGACATCAGCTGAATCCTTACAAGCTCTAGTGTTGCTCTAGTCTAGACTCAATGGATCACTGTCCAAGGAATCAGACCTATTGATGACTCTCAAAAATTTCAGTAAAGGGATACTTATATAAACATCAAACTGAAGAGCCATTTATCAGCTCTGTGTGCACATAAATCATCACCCAGAGAGAGGATATTTCAACCAGAAAAGATAAGGAAGTTTAGCTAAGCTGTCTGAAGAAAGTCAGTGAAGGTTGAATAAGGATAAAGGGAGGCTTCCCTATTAGGACATGAAGGGAAAAAGGGAAATTCCCCAAATAAGAAAAAAATTGGGACAAGCCCAGTCAATTACAGAGACTGCCCTGAAAAGACTGGCCAATGTGAGCTGACCCTGGAGCTGAGACTAAAAGCTAAATGCCAAAGTCTGTTTCTCAGAGGTCAGCTGGTGCCTGAGACCCAGCATCGGGGTTATTAGGCCATAGCTGGAGCCTTCCTGGCTCAGCCTCACTCCCCAAAGGGCCATTGTTATTCAATAGGCCAATAGTTGCTAAATCCAACTGAACAAGATGAATTATATAATCTTTCTCTGTGGGGGTTTTATGATTAGATAAGTTTTGCATAGAGACTTCAGGAAGGCCACCCTTAATTTAGACTTTGGATTAATATTCACTCTCTCATAATTTTATGCATTATCTCCTAGATAGAATTCACCTGATTATAAGGGAAAAAAGAGATGAGATAGTCTGAAAAATACTCAAAGACATGCTGCCAACTTAATAAAAGCTAAAAGTTTCAGCCTAAACATTCCTCTTTAATGAAGACCTTGGTGCAGCTGAAATGGGATGATTCCATTCTAAAACATCTAAAGAAATTTACCATAGTTAGCAGAACAGATTTGCTTCTTCTCAGTGAAATTATCTTTCATCTTTCTCAATGTTTATAAAAGTAGGATCTTTAAAAGTCTGCATTATAAAGCAAAAAAAAAAAAAAAAACTGTCCCACAGCTAAAAACCAAAAATAAGTCATCAAAACTGAAATGGAAACACATTCCCCTCGATAATTACATTTTAGTAAATAAAGATATAACTAGCTGTTGGTGATGATTTCTGGTGATGAAAATGACCCAGAATTCTACTTCAATCATAGTTGAGTCCAATTTTTAAAAATCAATCACATTTACTTGTTGTATGTCATTATGCCAATGAATAGGTTAACAAGAAGATAGCTGCTAGCAACAATATTCCAATTCAGAAGTGGACATGAAGACAAACAGGATTCTCTGATGAATGACCCCAGTGGGTAATTAGCAATGTATTGAAAACAGATAACAGGTGCCCTAGACTCCCCAGCCAGCAAGGAGGCTATGTCCAAACTCAGCTTCTCACAGATCTCTAGTTAGTGGGGGGGTGTCTTTCCCAGAACTCCCCTTTAAACAGCTGGCACCTGAGCTCAGACTTCCAGGAACTTAAGCCCAAAATGCTTATTCACTCCGTTCCAGGCTGCTCTCAGGCTTACTCTATAAAAAAGGGAGAGCCACAGAAAAGAGTGTTTTCTGGAACCCAGATCCTCAGTGTAATTAGATGTGTTCCAGCCTAAGCATTTCTTTTTTGCAGGAAGCCAAGAGAACAGAGACCCATGCAGCCACTGGCTCTTCTGCCTGTTAATTCCAATCTGTCTCAAATAATGCTGTTCACCCAGAGTCTTTGCATAACAATGAGGAAACAGAGACACAAGGGTACAACACCGCCATCATCTATCCATCGAGTCAGCAGAGTCACTGTAGATGGCATCCACCTTCTTATTTACAAAGAAACCGATACACAAAGACACCAGCCATAGACCTAGACTTTAAACTGTATTTGCTACCCCTTTTATGCCCACAACATAGTAGTGCCTGCAGAATTGTTAACTAAAGTGTTTCTCTAATGAGGGAGTAAGTGAGCATTCTTATATGATGGCTTTCAGTAACCAAAAGGAAACAAATTTAGTACAAGGGCGCTTTGGTAAAATGACATAGGAAATGGATTCTGGTATTTGCCTGCAATAAATTATAAATTGGCAGGGAACAGACAACATTTTATATTCATTTAAAATAAGCATAATGAAGAATTGCTTTTTAAGTGAAGACCAAGATAATCTCGGCATTTGACGTTATCAACACATCTTTCATTTTCCCACATACAATCTGCCCTGTGCTGCACACCACAAATTTACATGCAAAAAATATAAAAGGGAGGCTGGGCGTGGTGGCTCACGCCTGTAATCCCATCACTTTGGGAGGCCGAGGCGGGCAGATCACGAGGTCAGCAGATCGAGACCATCCTGGCTAACACAGTGAAATCCCGTCTCTACTAAAAAAATTAAAAATAAAAAAATTAGCCGGGCATGGTGGCGGGCACCTGTAGTCCCAGCTACTCAGGAGGCTGAGGCAGGAGAATGGCATGAACCTGGGAGGAGGAGCTTGCAGTGAGCCGAGATCGCGCCCCTGCACTCCAGCCTGGGCGACAGAGCGAAGACTCCGTCTCAAAAAAAAAAAAAAAAAAAAAAAATTTATATATATATAAAAGGATACAAATAATGTCTGAATGATCTGAATGATCATGTCTGCTCTTGTGTATGTAAAAGCCTAATTTCCAAAAGTGGAATAAAGAGAAAAAATACACAAACAAAAATTATAAGCTCCTGGAGTTCAGCCATGAAATATTATTGAGATTAGAAGAAGGGTGAAGCCATGGTCAAGCTCTTGATGAAATGCCCTGCTTGCCTATAAAGAGATGTGAATCTTAACATCTCCATGGTGATGAGCAGACAGATGCCCACTGGTGTTTTCATGTCTACATTTAATGGGTGAGAATTTCAATGATTTATTCCAAGCTTTGGGGGCTGGGGGTAAACTCAGATTTTTATCTAGCATGAAACTCTTGTGGCCTCTCTGAACAATGTAGCCTGACTTTCTGTTGGATTGATGCTGAAAAGCTCTTTTATTTCTCTATAGCAAATGGTTCCCTGGTCTTTTGGTATACCAGAGAAGTGAGATATATAACCCTAAACCAGCTTAAAAGTTAGCTTGCTGTACCTAGTGTTCCAACACATTCTGTCTCTTGTACCATTTATTTTATTTCATATTAACTAATGTTACTTTTCTTCATTCGTAAGTATTCAGTTGGTCATAAGATAATTGCTATTTGACAATCTTTTAAATTTATTTCATTCTTTATGGAAAAGTAAATGCAACCAGGAATATTAGCATTAACATAAATCCAAATAAAACCAGGTGACAGGCAAGTTAAAATGTTCCAAACAACACTGAAACAAAACCTCAAAACTCTAGCATGGCACATACTGTTCCTGAATATTCTCTGATTTTAGACACATCATCAAGATTATGCTGGTGGTCAGGAGGAACATTGGAGTTACTATCTTAAGGTGAAAGACATGAGAATCTGTGAGCAAGAATAGAGTTGATTTTAATTCTAAAAGGGCTGAAGCCACACTCTCCTTCACTGAAGAAGTGCTGCCTCCTCTTTTCTCCTCCATTTTCCATTTGCTGCTGTGATTACCAGATGTGATAGTCAGACTCTTTAGAAATGTTTAAGACTTTGTTAAGGAATATGTGGAGATGGAAATTTTCATGCAATGCTCATAAAGTATAAATTGACACAATTTTTCTGGGAAGCAACTTGGCAAAATAAAACAGCCTTAAAAGTGATCAAATTATTTGTTCCAGTATTCCTCTACTAGAAATTTATCCTAAAGAAATAGTTATAATAGAAAATACACAAAACACCTTAACTGCCTAATTGTATTGGAATGATTAAATTAATGTACATTAACAAGATGAAATAGTATTAAGTAATATCTTTGAGGATATATTCACAGCATTAAGTGAAAAAGCATGAATACAATTTTATGTACAGCATGTCCTCAATATATTTACATGCACACAAATACACACAAATGGATATATTAGACAAAACATTGGGAAGAAATATGCCAGAGTAGTTAAAGTGGTTATTTCAGGGTGGAAGAGAAGAATAATTTTTACTTATACTTTTCTGTGTTTTCCAGTTGCTTATATTGAGCATGTTACTCAATTTTACCAGATATGCATTTATAATTGCAATAGTGATAAATATTCTGTAAACTTGAAACAGCATAGAAATGTATGAAATAAAAGACATCTCCCCACTCATTCTCCTGATCTCTGCTTACTAGCAAGAAAAATACAGTTTATATTTCCAAACTATTTATGTGTATATATATATACATATATACATGATATACACATATATATACATTTATACAATAATTTTATAAAAACATAATACTGAGCATATTGCTCTACAATTTATTTTATATTAACCAAAATTCCTTGGACATCTTTTTATGTTGTTATATAGGAATACATCAGTTTTTATAGACTTTAATTTTTAGAGCAGTTTTAGATTCACAGAGAAATTGAGCAAAAAGTACAGAGTTCCCATATTTCCCTGCCCCCACATACACATGGCCTCCCCCACTATCAACATTTCACATCAGCATGGTGCATTTTTTACAACTGATGTACCTACACTGGCACATCATTATCACCCAAAGTCCATAATTTACATTCTTGGTATTATACATTTCATGAGTTCACTCTTGGGTGTTGTACATTCTGTGGGTTTCGACAAGCATAATGGCATGTGTGCTGTGTTCTGTATCATATTATAGTATTATATGGAATAGTTTCAGTGTCCTAAAATTTCTCTGTGCTTTGCCTATTCATCCCTCCCACCTAACCACTGGCAACCATTAATATTTTTACTGTCTCTATAGTTTTCCTTATTTAGAATGTCATATAGTTGAAATTATATAGTATATAGACTTTTCAGATTGGCTTATTTTATTTACTAATATGCATTTAAGATTCTTCCATGTCTTTTCATAGCTTGATGGAATGTTCCATGTTCATTTGAGAAAAATGTATATTCTTCTGCTGTTGGGTGGACTATTCTGTATATGTTGTTAGGTTTAGTTAGTCTGTAGACTTTTTCAAGTCCTTTATTTCCTTATTAATCCTCACTGGGGTTGTTGTAGCCACTATTGAAAGTGGAGTACTGAAATCTCTTAGTATTATTGTGCTTCAGTCCATTTCTCCCTTCAATTGTGTCAAAGTTTCATTCATATATTTTAGAGCTTTGAGATTTGGTGCATAAATATTTATAACTATTGTATTTTCTTGGTAAATTGACCTTTTTAATCATTATATAATGACCTTATTTGTCTCTTGCACCAGGTTTTGATTTAAAGTCTGTTTTGTCTGGGTTAGTGTAGCCACTCCTGCTCTCTTTTGGTTATCATTTACATAGAACATCTTTTTCCATTCTTATACTTTCAACCCATGTGTGTCCTCAGATCTAAAGTGGGTCTCTTTTTGACAGTACATAGTTGGATCCTTTTTAAAAAACAAATTCATTCAACCAACCTATGTCTTTTGATTGGGAAATTTCATCCATTTACATTTAAAGTACCCATAAGGATTATTTATTGCCATTTTGTTTATTGTTTTATCTTGTAGCTTTCTTGTCCATCTTTTTCTCTTCCTTCCTTCCTTCATGTTTTGTTGATTTTTTTAGTGATATCCTTTGATTCCCTTTCTATTTCTATTTATGTATACTCTATGGATATTTTCTTTGTGACTACCATTGAAAATATATAAAATATCTTAAAGTTACAGCATTCTATTTAAAACTAATAACTTCAATCACATATTAAAACTCTACTTCTTTACAGTTCTAATCTCCCATTTTATGTCACTGATGTCACAAATTACATCTCTAAATATAATAGACCCATCAACATGGATTTATAGGGTTTTTTGTATTTTGTTAAGTTCTGTGTACCAAAAATTACAATAGTACAGGTTTCTATATTTTTCCATGTATTTACCTTTGCCAGAGAACCTTGTATTTTTGTATGGCTTCATGTAGATATCTACTATTCTTTCATTTGAACTTGAAGGATTCTATTTAGCATTTTCTGTAGAGCAGGTCTAGTAGTAAAGAACTCTCACATTTTACCTGAGAAAGTATTAGTTTTTTACATTTTAAAAGATAGTTTTGCTAGATATAATACCCTTGGTTGACAGGTTTTTTTTTCTTTCTATACTTTGAATATATCACCCCATTCTCTTCCATTCTACAAAGTTTCTGCTGAGGAATCCACTGATAAGCAAATGGAAATCCCTTTACATGAGATGAATCACTTTTCTCTTTCTGCTTTTCAAAAACAAGATTTTCTCTTTGTCTTTGACTTTGCATAGTTTGCTTATAATGTTTCTCAGTGTGGTTCTCTTTGGATTTATCCTAGCTGTAGTTTTTAAGCTTCATGAGTCTGTATGTCCATTTCTTTCCTCAGATATGGAAAGTTTTCAAACATTATTTGTTTAAATAGGCTCTCTTCCTCTTTCTCTCTACTCCTTCAGAGTTTCCCATAATGTGTATGTTGATACCCTTAATAGTGTCTCAACAGTCGCTTAAGCGATCTTCACTTTTCTCCATTCTTTTTTCTGTTTGCTCCTCTGACTCAATGATTTCAAATGACCTCTTTTCATGTTTGCTGATTTTTTCATCTGCCTTATCAAGTCTGCTGTTGAGCCATTCCAGTAAAATTTCTAGTTTAGTTATTGTATTTTCCGGTTACAGAATTTCTATTTGGTTCTTTATAATTTCTGTCTCTGTTGATGCTCTTATTTTGTTCAGGCATTGTTTTCCCGACTTTGCTTAGTTTTCTGACTGTGTTCTCTTTTAGCCCACTGAGTATTTTTTATGATAGTTATTTTAAATTCTTTATCAGGCAGGTGATAGATTTATACGTTTTTTGAGGTTGGTTTCTTGAATTTTATTTTGTTCCATTGAGTGGGCCATGTGTTTTTTGCTTCTTTATATGCCTTGTGTTTTATTTCAGGCTGCTATAACAAAATATCATAAACTGGGTTACTTATCAAGAACATAAACATATTTCTCACAGTTCTGGAGGCTGGAAGTTCAATATCATGGTGACAGCATGATCAGACTCTGGCAAGGTCCTTCTTCTAAGTTGCAGACAGCCATATAACCTCAGATGACCAGCAGAAGGCGAATTAGTTCTCTGGCTTCTTCTTATAAGGGTATCCTACTCATGATGGCTTCACCTTTATGACCTAGTTACCCCTCAATGACCCCATCTCTAAATACCATCACATTGAGGATTCAATTTTAACATACAACTTTTGGAGGAAACACAAACATCTGTCCATTATACCTTATTATTTCTTTTGCTGGGATTTAGGCATTTGGAAAAACAACCACCACTGATATTTTTTGTATGCTGGCTTTGTAAAGGGGAAGACCTTCACCCATTTGGCCCTGCTGGAGGTTCCAGGACTTCTCAAACCTTTTCTGACCTTTTGCTCCTTCTGATAACTGTGGAACTGCAGCTTTAATATGGGCTCATCTCTTTTCATCTGCTTTCAAACCCTGGCACTGATCCCATCATCAATGCTCTGGATTAGGCAAGACAGAAACTAGTCCCTCAAGCAGCCCCCAGATGAGCCAGAAAGTTGGATGTATGATCCACCTTTTACATGTGTCCTGAGGGAGGGATCCTGATATGGAAAGTTTTCTCCTAGTAGCTCTCTACTATGCTGCATAGGGGAAGGGGCACAAATGCTGAAGATTTTTCTGTTTTTTTCACTGGAATCCTGTCTTGCTTTTACAATGGCTGGGTGTTGTAGCATCTTAACCGGTCTCTGTAGTTCTCACAGCGGTATTCTGGTTCATATATTTTTGTTAACTCAGTTTCTCTGTGGGGAAGAGAGAGCCTGTAGCTTCATAGCCCACCATCTTACTGATGTCACTCCTTACGTCTTTTTAGTGCTGAATAGTATTTCATTGCCTGGATATACAACAGTTTATTTATCCATTCACCTACTGAAGAATATCTTGGTTGCTTTCAAGTTTTAGCAATAATGAATAAAACTGCTATGAACTCCTGCGAACAAATTTTCTTATGAACATAAACTTTCAACTCGTTTAGGTAAATATCAATAATTGCAATTCCTGGATCATATGGTAACATTGTTTAGTTTTGTAGTAAACTGTCCAACTGTCTTCCACAGTGTCTGTGGCATTTTGCATGTCTACTAGCAGTGAATGAGGTTTCCAGTCCTCCACATCTTCACCAGCAGTTGGTGTTGTAAGCGTTTTGAATTTTGGCCATTCTGTGTACGATAATCCTTCATTGTTTTTTCATGCTGCAATTACCTAATAGCACATGGTGTTGAGCATCTTTTTATATGCTATTTTCTATCTACATATCTTCTTTGGTGAAGTGTCTGTTTTTTCTTATTTCTTTCTCACCCCATTCCCACTTCTGAGAAATTCTGATGTCATGTGATAGTTTCCTTTTGATGATTACTCACATACAAATGAGGTAAATTCTTAGTGGGCTATTTAATTCAGATTTATATAGGCATGTGGCTGTGGCTCTATTGCATACAAAAAAAATTTTTTAATGACATGTGATGTGTGTATGAGTGAATATTTTTAGCCATTAGTTCTCTCAGTGAACTGAGAACTGCCCTGCAGAATTACTCATAATGCAGTACATTCTCCTTCTCTTACGGTCTCACAAACTGCTTCCTCCAAAATGGCTTTTCTTTATAAATCCCTGTTTTGTCACACTGTCATATTTTTTAGATTGCCTACCAAAAAAAATAATAATCCAGGGAGGCACAGTGAACCAACTCATACACTGCTTTCCCACTGTGTCAAGCAAGTTGTTCTCCTCAGGCTGTGCCACTGGAAGGAGAATTGGGCTCTGCTTTCTCTGAGATCTGCAGCTACACGCATGTTCCATATCTTTCCCACTTCCCTGTTGCCTATTATAACTTTGGGCAGCCTTTCCTTCTATTTTGTGGTTCTGAGTTTCAAAAGTCTGTTAGTTTAATCAAAACTGGAGTTTGTGTGTCTGGGTCTTGTACCTCTGTTGCATTTGGGTGATTTCTGGGAGATGAGAAAAATGTCTAATGTTATCTGGCCATTTTAAACCCAGATCCTAATTGCTTCTCAGCCTTTGGGCTAGGATCTGTTCTTGTCAGTTTAAAACTAGACTTCAGTGGCTTTTCAAAAATTCTGTAGCCACTTGGATTTCTTTTCTTGTTAATTACTTAATTATCCATTCACATCCTTTTTAACCTTTTGGGGTATTCCTTTAGTAGTCAGCAAAACAATTTGAAAATTAACAAAATATTTTCTCAAAGGAGGGTGGTAGTGACCATGATGTGAGTAGCATTCAGAGCTGATAGGAAGAGGCAGCCTTCAGTCCAATGGGACTGTCTCTGACTCTTCCTATTGGAGTCCATTGCCCAAGAGGTCTTAATTCCTAAGAACTCCCTGGGCTCATTGCTGGGCCTGGCTTATCATCTTGTTATTTTGGGTGCCACTACTAGAAGGATATTGAGAGAGTTGAGGAATAGGAAAGATAACCTTTCCTGAGTGATGTGAAAAATTCTTTCATATCTGTTTTCTTCTCTTTGCTGTCTTCCCATCATCAGCAGAACTGTCTAGGGCCATTTGCTTTGTCATAAGACTTTTGAGAAAATAACTGAATAAAATTTTTCTAATTTGGAATGAGTTGAAGTTTACATACACTTAGGGCCACAGTTTATCTCTTTCTTCTTTCATTTATTTAGCATATAGAAAGGCAAAGCAAATCAAGTCAAAATACAAATTGTTCCTAACTCATATGTGCACAGGTATCAATGAGCTGATGTGTATATGAAATGATAACACTTTTTTTACATATAACTTCCAAGTCATTTGAGCTAAAAATAAATCTACCATTGACCCCAAGCAGGAAGTTAGACATATGAAAAATTGCTCTGTACCTCTACATAGGTGCATTCTTCAAGCAAACATGGAATTGGATACAACTTTCCTCTTGATCAGTACAAATTAGGGAGAAGATATCATTTAAATATTGTGTATTATCTAAAACTCTCTGACTATATAACCTCAGATAGATTACATAAGACAGAACTAGTTACAGGGCTGTTATTTTTCCCTACTACCAAAACATCGTTAATCACAGAAGCATTTCTGCTCAAACAGAAAAGCAGTATATTACAATTTTATTATTTAAAGATCTTGAAAACGGTTTGTAGACAATATTATCAGTCACCTCCAGACAGTGGGAGGAGAATGGGGGAAGAAGAATCAGATAGAGTTAGAATTCTCAAAAGTTTATAACAAATAGACTTGAATGTTTGTTCTAAATACGAGTGCCTTGTTTACACATGATTAACACAATACGAGAAGGCATTCTATAACCTAAACTAATCCAAATCCTACCTGCTTGACTAATAGTGGCAGTCATTAATTGATTTCGCAGTAGCTAGATTTTTCTTTTATCATTTCACAATCGGGTTGGCAAAAACTGAAAAGATGTAGTAATGAAAAACAGAGAAAAATACTCCCAAATGACATAAAAATGCATTTGGAAGTTGCTTGGCTTATTCAAGATAAAAGCCTTGGAAAAATTAGCCCTGGTATCATGGAAAATATTTTTGAAATTTTGGTGACTCCTTGTTCTTCGTGAAGAAAATAAATCATGGTATCAGTGGAGCAGAAAACACAAGGGAATTTTCAATGAAATGTTTTCTTTCTTTTCCACTGATGCAATATTTGAAATGGGAGCACAGGGCATATTTCTAAGCAAAGTAGTTTTCAACAAGCATAGCTCTTTTCGGTAAATCACCTGTGGTCTTATGAACAAATAATTGTAGACATCAAATTAAAAGACATGAATTTAACATACGAATTGTGGTCTTTGTAACTGATTAAATCATGTATCAGTCTTCACATGTCCTTTATTCACATTCAAAGCACTCTAATCAGAGTGAAACATTGCTTAGGTTTTGTTAGGACATTACCACACTTTGTAAATCATCATACTTTATGAAGTAATGACCTCTTTATTACCTCAGTAGGAAGGTCTGCATTCATTTATCACATGGTAAAACTGGTCTTGATCCTTGAAGAAACTAAGCAAGGAGTGAGAGCTCTGTTGTTCTGCTGATGGGGCTCAGTCTGTTCTTCCTCTTTTCCAACAATCACACTTATTTCCAGGAAAGAGGTAAAAGCCTTTGTTGGAATCACATGGATTCCAGATCAGACCGAAGTCCACAACACTTCCTTTCCCCTACCAGGGGCTACCTCTTGGTTACATTACCTGACCTATATATGTATTTTTAAGCTCTCTTCTCTTTAACTTGGTAGCATGGGAAAATTGTTCTGGTTATCACAGCTAGAAAAAGCAACCCACTGCTATGTGATAGAATTTTGATTAAGCAGAGGCTTAAGGCTGGACATGGCAGTGATTTCTATTTAAGTATTTATAAATGTTTGCTATATCTCATGAATTCCCACCTCTGGCATAAGCACTTTCCGTTTGAGGTTCCCCTTAGTGTCCTGAGTTTGTAGGACAGTTAACCTCCATGGGATTGAGTTCCCGAATTAGATATTCTGCTTTCAGAAAGTGGCCCTCAGGAATAAAACTCATGCAGCAGGATTGAAACAAACTTTGGATACAGAAGCAACAAAACTAAAAGCACTTAAGAAAATATTAGTTATAAATCAAGCAAAATTCCTACTGGTCATGTTATAATATTTAATATATCAAAATAGAACATAACAAAATGTGTGGATGCTTCAAAATTACTTATCAGAACAGCATAAAGGGATATCTTATACCTTTCCATGACTTGTTTTCATTACCCTTTCTCTGATGTCCACCAATACATGGCAAATCATTTCAAAGTATGGAAAATGAAATCAATGAATATTCAAACTGGCTATTTCAGCTATGGCAGTGAGTTAAAACCAAGGTGTATAATTTTCTTGGTTTTAAATTTTCCTTAGTATTTCAGCTCTATTTTTTTAGATGATATAGTATGTGATTGGTATTTTTCAGTGATCAAAACAGACAGAAACCCTTGCTTTCACAGAGTTTTCATTGTTTCTTTTCCTATGTGTTTAGTTAGCAGTATTGATATAGTCCAGGGACTCCTAGAAACACCTGTTGTGTTGCTTTGGTGAGCAGATGCTGTTCATCTTCCATGGCACCTGTATTTTATCTGCATGGAGGTGAGTGGCATGCATGGGAAAAGAGGAGAGCTAGACGTATGCATTGTGGAATATAGGGATCTCTATTTTTAAAAATCTCTCAATTCTGTGAAAAGACAGCACAAACAAACTAAACCTAAGTACAGCACCACAGCCCATGTAGGCTTTCTGTTCCTCTAGATCTAAGGTGAAGCTGGAGGGTATTAGTATAATTTTGTTTGGCATTACAAAGAGAGGGTAGAATTCAGAGTCACACAGACCTGGGATGCATTCTAGTTTGTGGCCTGAGGTATATCCAATAAACTCTTTGGGTCTCAGTTCCTCAACTCTTTTTAGAATTTAGCATCATTTACTTTGTGGGTTCTATGTCTATTTTCTTCATTTAGGAAAAAGTATTTATTGAACATCTGGTGTGTCCATTTAGGCACTGCTCTAAGTGCTGGGGACATAACAATGAAGAAAATAGTCAAACATTCTCGCCCTTGTGGAACTTATAAGGACAGAGAGTATCTTACCTATTAATGTAGAAAAATTGGATTCACTCGTAACAACAACAAAAATGAATTTTCCCGTAACAAAAATGGAAGCAAAATGCTATTTTGAAATATTCTTAAAGTAACATCAGAAATTAGTATGCACCTATCATGTATAGCCTCATTATGTTCTACTTTGTCTTGCCATGCAGATGAGCTCAGCCAGAGTACTTCTCAGAGAGGATACCACGTGGATGCAAATAAGAGCAGAGAAAGCACCGAGTAGTTACAATGGTCCTTGCTGGGTGTTTGGAGAAGCTAATTATTTGAGAGAGAAACAAGCCTAGGAAAGACTTTTGGGATTAGGTGAAAAGTGTACCCTTGCAGGGAGCAAGAAGCCATGCCATGCCCAGGCTTTCGATCGCTCCACCACAGGATATCATTGTCCACAGGCCCTAACTTTAGTTCTTGATTTTTCCAACCTCTCTTTAAAGTTTATTCTTATTTTCCAAAACTTAGAAACCATGCCCAATGGAATATTGGCTGTGAAATGAATGAATGTGTGTCTCTGTTAGATCAGCCAGGCTGTTTCTCTTAACACATTCCCCCGACATGATTCTGAGATACATTAACATCACAATGCTTTCTTGACCATCGAGTCACACAGAAATGAAACCAGTCTGAAAAGATTTACTTTCCACAAGGCTATTTAAGTTACGACTACAATTTTTCTAGAGTCTCTTCTAGTTCCAAAGTACACATATATGAGTTATCTTTTTCTTTTCAAGACGAATTTTCTGGTTATGCTCCATTGTAAATCCCCTTTCGAAGTAGAAAGGACTTGTAAATAAATAATATGAGAAATTATTGTTACTTTTATCTAGGTTGAGGGGTTTATATAAATTCTGAGAATAATGAAGGATTCTATACTATGTAATCTATGAATCCCATTTTTTGCCGAAGATGTGACATGCCATGAGACTTTGCTGATGTGAATGGATACTATACATCTTATGTTCTTTTTCAATCACTTATTCTCCTACCTTATGATGCCTGTTTTATTTTCTTGCCCCAAGTAATGTTCTCTCTCAGTCTCTGAGGACTTAATAGCTCCATAAAGGCAAGGATCTTTAATTTTTTTTCGGTTTTATTCACTGCTTTATATCTAGAGCCTAAAACGATGTCTGGCATACAATAAACACTCAATATTTATTGACTGTTGAATGAGTTTTGGTTTTTAAATTTAGATGATGAAAGCAAATATATATCTAGCCACTAGTATGTGCCAAATACTCTTTTAAGCACTTTACACCTATTAACTTATTTAATCCTTAAAATAACCCACACAGGCACAGAGAGAATATAAATTTGTCCAAGTTTATTGGCAGAGGCAGGATTTGAACTCAAGCAGTCTGCCTCTGAGTCATTAACCACTGCACTACTACCGACTCTCTAGATAGCATACTTGGTAGAGAAAAAACATGTATGTTTTCCTTGCTTTTTAATATTAATTTTTAATTTTATATTTCTAAGTTATTTTATTAATTTAAATATATATTCATGTATGCACTGACTATATATTACAAATTTGTGGTTCAAAATTCAAAAGGTACAAAGAGATATAAAAGGAAAAGTCTCTCTCCTCACTCCTGTTCTTGAGCCAACCAGTTCTCCTTCCTAGAGGCAGCCAACAGCTTGTTCAAGTCTAATTCTGGCTCTGCGCTCCCCAGACATGTAACTTCAGGCAGAATACCTAATTTTTCTGTGCCTTGGTTCTCCGGCCTGAAAAATGGGGATAATAAAATACCTCCCACATGGAGTTTTTATGAGAATTAAGTGAATTAATATTTGTAAAATGCTTAGAATGGTACCTGTCACAAAATAAGTGCCAATAAATATTAGCCATTATTAATTTTGTGAGTCCTTCCAGATAGTTTACTCATATGTAAGATATATACATATATACACACACACACCTACACATACTCCTTTACCTCTCCCCCAGCCATTTTTTTTACAAATACAATTATGCACCTTGCTTTTCTCACATTTTAATTAAAAAATAAGTCCGCAAATATATTTTCTTCTGATAACCCACTATCAGCATTTCTGATGTGTGTCTTCTTGGCTTGAAGAAGGATAACTATGGTTTCCTGCTACTTTTTTTATTATTTCTTATTATTGTGATGGACATTGACGGAGAATAGCCATTCTGAGGGCAACCTGCGATAGGTAGGAATTAACAAAATCAGTCATGAAAAATGAGTGATGGTATAGATTGTGACCTTTTGAAGCTGGTTTTGGTCTCTGATCCATGTGGCTGTGGCAGCACCAAGAATTTCTGTATCAGGAAGTTGGGTACTAGCAATGATCTGACAAGAAAGTGGGGCCGGGGGATCTGTCTTAGAGTTGCATTTTCATAGAAAACATACTGTTTTCACCTGGCTTTAACACATATATGAAGTGGGGGTGTTTGCTGATGCAAGCTGTGAAGGAGAGGCATTATACCTGCCCCCCTCCCCTTTCCATCAAAGCATTCCTTGACCCTACCCCTGCCTCATGGCACTGTTGCCCTTGGCTCTACCATTTGGAGAAACAAAACAAAATGAAAACAAAACAAAAGAGAGAAACATAAGACCCATTTTCCTGATAGGCGCCCTGCCCGTAGAAGAAGAGCTGCAGCTTTGGCCCAGTCGGGAGGGTATGACAACCCCAAGTAGAGAGCTACTGAGAGAGGGAAGAGGAGAAGTAGGGGTTTTAATTGCAATTGCATTTTGATAGGAAGGGTAGTTGATCATACAACAGGTGAAGGAGGTCTTCTAGGGAGTGGGAGGGCCCAGACACTGGCTGTTAGCCAAATCCTCTCTCAGCTGCTCCCTGTGGTTTGGTGACTCAGGATTACAGAGGCATCCTGTTTCAGGGAACAAAAAGATTTTAGCTGCCAGCAGAGAGCACCACATACATTAGAATGGTAAGGACTGCCACCTCCTTCAAGAACAGGAGTGAGGGTGGTGGTGAATGGGAATGGAAGCCTGCATTCCCTGATGCATTTGTGCTCTCTCAAATCCTGTCTTAGTCTTAGGAAAGGAAGTAAAGTTTCAAGGACGGTTCCGAACTGCTTTTTGTCTCTGGGCTCAAGTTAGAGAACCTTGCAATCCTCAAAGATGTTAGGGCAGGAACAATCTGTCTTTCCAACCCCGTTTGAATGGCTTTTAGGTCACAAGTTATCCAAGAATGTCAGGGAAACTTTGCAGTTACACACCGACTCTCTGGTAAGGAAGCTCCAGAGAGACTGTGCCATGTGATGTCCCACATCAGTAGCCTGGAAGCCACAGAGTAACCCCAGACCCCTGACTCCCGGTCCCTTTGTCCTCTGAGGAGCTTCTCGGTCAGGGCCCTCATCCCAAATTCAGCCTTGTTGACCTTTTTCAAACTCAGCACTGAAAGGCTTCAAGGGCAACAGGAAGTCCCCAGGGAAGGGCAGCATCACCTTTAGGGGCTGCTGCTTTACTGGCTCTGTGCACAGAGAGTTCTGCACATGGAATGTGGACACTACATGTTTCTGAGCTGCTGCAGCTGCTCTGAACAAACGGACTCCCCCACTCCCGGGGAATCGAAACTACACAGTTTCACTCTGTCTTGTTGTGTTGTCAGCTGGCTTTCAGCATTCCCTTGTCCCCACAGAAACCTCTACATGGATCCCTTGCATGGGTGTTGTACAATGGGAGCTTTCATTCCTGCTTTGGCACCTGCAACCCTGGGTTAACAGTACCATGGAGCGGAGAAAGCGTTTACCAGAGTGCGGTGCCGCGATCCCACCCCGTGCAGCAGTTGAGCAGAGGCAAGTAGCAGGGCTATGTGTGCCTGCAGGGAAGGAGGGGAGATGAATCATGGGAGAACCATTCCCGCTGCTACCCTGAGTACTCGGAATGTCAACTACAAGTGTATTGTGTGAGGCAAAATGATACCCAATATTTACCCCTAACATATTCTGGGCTCCCAGGGGAAAACAGACCACAGAACCAAATGTACCAGCCAGGGTTCTTGGTTACAAGCCACAGAATCCATTCTTAATCAGAAGGCTGGTTCTGGAGCCAGGCTTTGAGGTCTCCATTCTGTCTTTATCTGTTACTCGCTGTAGGACCTATAAACCAATTATTCAACCACTCTGGGCTTCAGATTTTCATTCGTCAGATGAGGGCAGAAGGATTAATGCATTGAATATATGTGAACTAACTGGAGCAGGGCCTGACTCATATGAAGCATTCTGTTAACCATCATCACCATCACCACTACCACCACCACCACCATCATCATCATCATGATCATCATCATCATCAATTTATCCTCAATCAGAAGGTCATGGAAGCAGATTCAGAAAATGGGTAGGCATTAAGGGAGGATAAGCAGCAGGATTAATAGCAAAGTTTACGCTGCAGAAACAGCCTGATTAGAATGCTGTCCCTGGCACCACTGCCACGGCCTATGGTAGACACCACTGCCATCTCAGCTAGTCAGTCACCTCTATGGTCACTACTGAACACTGCTATAGTGAAATCAATTATCAATTCAGTTTTTCTCTACTTGCTCCAAATTCGAAATCTAATATGGAAGCAAATAATTGCCAAACCCCAGTTCACCTGTCTGAGACCTTTATGTCAGGGTTGAACAGAAATTGCATCTCATCCATTCTGTTTTCTGTACTGGGAAGTTGTGTTCTGTCTCCTATAAAGGCTCACATAATAGGGGATTCTTCCATTGCAGGGCAGACAATACCAACAACCCCAAATTCAACATTGGCAAATGTCCATACACAAAGAAAAGTGCGTAATAATGGTATGACACTAGGGCCACAGTGGTCACTACTTCTTGGGGAAGTCAGGAGCTCTCTCCTAAGCCTTTCTTCTAGGGCCTGCCTGGCTCAATGGATGACACTTCATGCATTCAGTTGCACAAGCTAGAATCCCAGGTATCATCCCTGACACCTGTCTCTCCCTTACGCCACATAGCCAATCCATCACGCACCATCCTTTCAATTTCACTGCCTGAAGTCACTTAAATCCACCTCTTTCCTTCTACTTCCTAATCCAAACAACCACTTCTGTGCAGTTAGACTATTACAATAACCTCATCACAGATCTCCCTGCCTTGTATCTGACCTCTCTCTACTCTGTTCTCCTACAACAACCACAGTTATCTTTTCAAAATGCAAATCTGAGAATCCATTAACCTTTCAGTTTAATGGTTTCGTAAGTCTCAGGTTAAAGACAAACTCATTAACATGCTCACATGGTCTTGCCTGCTTTGGTTTCTACTCTAAATTCAAATGTCCTGTGCTCTCACTCACTGCACACCAGACACAGTGCTCTTCCTACTGCCCCTATTCTACACATGCTCCCTCTTGCTACAAAGCCTTGTCCCACCTAGGGCACTTTCCTCCCCTCTTTTCCTGTTTATCCCTATTGTTAGTTGGTGGTCAGATCAAGTGTTACTTCTTCAGGTGAGCCTTCCCTGACCCTGGAAAATCTTCTTATTCCAGATTCTCAAAGCATCCTGAAACTTTTCTACACAAACATTCATCACAATTGTGCCACTTATCGTTTATTATTTATATAACACATGAAAGCAAGGACCATGTCTAACCATTGCCTAGCAAATCCCATTTGTTGAGGGAATTAATGAATGAAAATATAGCTTCTTATTGGAGGTTAAATTTATCATTGATTTTGAGGCCTGATTGAGTTTGTTGCATGGAGAAGAGGAGTAAAAGCATTTCAAGAATAGAAATAGGGGATTCAAAAGTCCCCAGATATGCAAGGAAAGGGTGTATTTGGAGAAAGTTTAGCATGGCTGTTGTACAGAGTGAGTGGAGATGGATGAGAGGGAGAAGGAAAGCAGCATATAAGGCTAGTGAGGGTTGGGACTAATTGCACAGGACTTTGAATGTGTGATAAGGTGTTGAGATGCACTTTTCTTTGTGTTTATGGAGATAATCTGTATGCCTGAGCAGAGGAAAGTCATAATCAGAAATGCAGAATGAGAGTTGAGGCAAAGACGTATGTTTGTTATTTAAAATTTTAAATACCAAGTTAACAAATATATCTACTTCCACAGCAAAGTTTTGGTCATTGATTATAGAATTAAAGGAGGTTTACATTTCAAAATGCCTAAAATAATGTTGAAATACCTGTTTCTAATAAGTGCAATCTTAACTATCAGATTTTTTATTCCCTGCCTCCAATAATTGTCCCCCAAATAATTGCTATTTATATTCTAGTGAACAGATGTCAAGTGACCAGCTGAAAAAAATTAGTTGCATATAACATGATCAATCAATAGAATGCCTCTAATTTCAGTTCAATACAAGTGTTTCCTATTAGGTTGATGATAATAGCTGTCGTAAGATTTGGTACGACATAGTTCTTAAAATAAAACGGCTCTTCTCAAATGTTTTGGTCTCAGGGCCCTGTACATGCTAAAAGATTACTGAGGACTTCAAAGAACTTTTGTGTATGTGGGTTATGTCTGTGGCTTTTTATCATACCAAAAACTAAGGCTTAAATTTTAAAAATATTATTTATTTAAAAATAATAAACCCATTATATGTCAACAGAGCTAATATATTTTGTGAAGATAGTTATATTTTCTAAAACAAAAAAATCTAATTAGAAGATAACTAGATTCTCATATCAGTTTCTGTATTTAATCTGTTATGATCTGCTTTTTTGGTTGGAAAAGGGAGGAAGGTTTTAATGCCTTTCTCAGATAATCATGACACTGCAATCTGACAAGCAGTAGTTCTTGAGTATTAGTTGCAATATGGAATATGAAACCATGTCAGTGAAGCTTTCACACTCCGTTACACTAAAACTCATTGGTCTGTTTTACACTTTGAACAGAGATTTTACCCCTACAGGATTGTGTAACACCATAAATTGATCATTTGGAAAACGCTTGTTCACTCTTTTTTGCATGTCGCCAACATTTTGACAAATTTCATTATACCATATCAAAAAACCACAGTCATTATTATTGCCACTAACCTTACCAGAACAAATTTAAATACTGCAAAGCTGTCAAGCTATTGGTGACAGATGTAAGTTCTAAAACATAATTTTACTTGAAAGTTTAAATTCTGTCATTGGCAACAAATTCCATTCTGTTGAAGTGACAGGCTGACTTTGTTAATTTTAAGAAAATATCCTTGAAAGACCCAAGTCAGAATAGCTATCATTTGTCATTCTTTTAATGAAAATGGTGTTCCATGGAAAAAATATCTAGTTTGACTTGGAACTCAAATAAGTACACACTTTTTTTTAGACAACCGTGATACTTGAACCTACAGCACAAGTGTATGTTTATGTGTCACTTCCCATTTTGTCACACAGAATAGTAAAACAGGCGTTCTCAAAGGTCAAAATTTAACAAAATTTATCATTTTTTTTCCTGCTTCATCAGGTCATCTTTAAGTAAAAGCCATCTGATATTTTACTGCAAGCATGTGGCAGTGAAGACGACAATGACTGCTAGTATGGTTTGTGCCACTGCCTTGATTTCCGCTCAGGCACCAGCAGTCTTACCCACCATTGCTTTGGTGCAGTTGGTGGAGATATCAATGGATCAAAAGCGCAAGTAATATGTGAGTATTATTATGAAAGGAGCTTGGACCTCATGAACCACTTAGAAAGATATTGGTACATCCAGGGATCTGTGGATGACACTTTGAGTACCATTGAAATAGGAATTAATCCCTAGATTAAAATGAAATAATGGGGCTCAGTCCACAGTCTAACCCAATTTATAATTTGACTATGTTCAAAAAAGTTTACCTTCACATATTTTTGTTACTTTAAGAGCAATGTGCTGTCACTAAAGAAAATGATGACGTCAATTTTTTTTTTTTTAAAAAAAGCATTTTTGTTACTCATCACTTTGGGCCATTGCAAAGGCTGCCTATTGCTAGACAAGAAAGAAGTCATTTACCCCACATCTATGGTTGTTGTCATCAAATGATCCATTTAGTGACTCTCTCAGCAATCAATGGCAGTTAATCACAATGAGTGAGCAATTTTGGAAAGCTGTGCCAAGTGTCATTTTGATAACCAGCTTTTCAGAAGACCAGAGCTGAACAGGAGAGTAATGGGGGAATACAGGTATTCCCACATCAATTGGAGAAGTAATAATTCCAGCAACAACACTATTGTCAACATGGTATTTTCTCTAGTGATTCACTTCGTAACATGTGTTTATCCTTCCAGAGCAGGGAAGTATACACCTATGCCCTTTCAAACTGACATGTATAGAAGTCAGATTTAGGCTTTTCAAGAGAATTGCCCGGCCCATGCTGAAAGCTATAGTAGAAAGTCAGCTGACTCATCCAGAGCATTTTTTAACTCACCAACAAGCAGAGGCAGGAGCAGAGCGTGTCAAAGGCCATTTGAGAGCAGTTATGCCAACTGGGCAGGCACAAGCCATGCCAATTTTTGTGGTTTCTCCAATTCGTGTCAGAACAAGGACTTGACTCTCAGTTTCCCACACTGGGAGGGTTTCTCTGAGTTATGCCCATTGAATGAGTGTAACAAGGTGATCTGATTCATCCTTGGTCACGAAGCAGGGAAAGAAAGAGTATTTTTCTATTTCAATGGTTAAGGGCATAAAAACCATGCATTGGTCCCATATCAGTAGATAATCAATGGTAAAGCATAAGTATGCAGCCTTGGTGTAGAGAGTGGCACTTGCTACTCATTCTTATGTTTTCAGAGTCATCGTACTTGTCTTTATGTTTGAGCTTGTAGATGTGCTGCCATGAGGAATTAACGTTAGATTCTTGAGCACTTTCTTTCACCTATTTCTCAGTGTAGCTGCAACGCTCTGTTTACTGTGCTAGGTATGTCCTAGAAAGTCAAATGATTCAGTCAAACCAGCACCATCAGAGTCAGTGTGATCTTCCTAAGACACATCTGATCATAAAGCCCCAAACCTACAAATAAAGGGGAGGGGGCCTGCTGGCTAGCCTGGCATAGATCCCATAATCAGGGCCTTATTGACCTCTTTCATTGCATCTCCTTCACTTCCTCATTTGCCACAGGTTTCAGATACATGGATGTGTCTGCAAGATGCTAGATGCCTCCTGGAACACATTTGCCTGGTGGCAGGAGCCAAGTCCTGGCAGAAGTCAGGAAGCAGGTCTAACGGGCATCAGCGGAGAAACTAGGAATGCTAACCATTGTCTCTTTCTCTTTCAGAGCTGTCTCTCTTCATTTCCAAAATTAAAAGATTTTTACTTCCCCCCACCTCATTTATACATTTCGCTGGTCATTGTAGGCCTTCTCATGATATAAAAAACAATGACCATTACCTCATTGGTAAATAGGTAGATCAAAGTCTTTATGTATAGCTACGTATCTAATTTTTTTCCTTAATTATCTCAATACCAAAATCAAGACAAGTTGTGGGTTGGGTAGGCACAGGAGGATGGGAGTGGGCTTGCCTTCCAGGCAGCCTGACAAGCCTTGCCGAGGTCAGGTTGCTTTGCCATCAGAGTCCATCTTCTGACTTCAGGCATGTCAGGTCTTTGGCAGTCTCTCCTCTCTGGCTTCCCCTCAGTTAATCCCCTCCTGGCCAAGCTTGTCAGGTGGGCCCTATTTGGGTCCAAAGAAGCACTAAATAAATGTCGATTGAGGCAGCTTATCCTAATGATGGCAATTATGACAGTGATGTTTTTCTTTTAAGCCATAAAAGCACTAGATGTTACAGATGGAAGGGATTTTCAATAATTTTTTGGAGGAAGAAACTGAGCCCCTGAGAGGCAAAGTATATAGTTTGATTGCAAGTTCTCCCTAGTAGGAGAGGCCAGGAATCAACCAAAAGAGCAAGAAAAGAAGCCACTACAGTAATGAGCTTCGGCTGCCTGCACCTCTTCCAGCCACAAAGGAAAAAAAAATGAGAAAGCTGCCTCTATTCTACTTCTTTTCAAAGCTGCCCAACTGTTAATATTTTAGTAAGTAAGAAGCAGTGTCTAAATTCTCATTCAAGTTCTCCCATCCATTGAGTTAATAATCTAAATTATAAGAATATTTATTTTTCACAGGATTAAGTAAACTTTTACTTAATGTAAAAACATGGCTCATAAACATTTGTATTCTTCCCAAACTAATCCATATGCCAACATGCTTATCTTTCTTCCCTGGGGTAGGAAACCAGGAGACTTTATGAAAATATATGAATACAGGCACATGGGTATGTTTTTTCCATGTGGTAGCTCAAATATGGTTCTTCCACCTCAATCTCAAGCTCTCCAGACTGCAGACATCTTATCTACACATCAAACTAGCATTTATTTTACCAAGGGCATTGCTTCCCCTTTTCTATCCCTTATTTCAACAGACAGGAGAAGAATATCCAGATAAAGGTCTCCAGGCAAACACACTAGAGAACCTGTAAAAGACTCTGAGGATGTTTGACGCCTTGAGTCTCTACACTGATGCCATCATCTTACTTCCTAATCTCTGATCTTTTCCAGGACTCGGCTCCCTATGCCCAGTAAATATAAATTTTCAGAACTGTGATCACAGCCCTGGCTAAATAGTGCCCCTGGTCAAACCTTCGTAGGCAAAATGTTTTCTCCAGCTTTCTGCTAGTTCTTAGAAGCCAGTGTGAAGGAAAAGGGATGTCATGAAGCATCACTCTCCAAGCTGATCATCTATTCCATTGCCTTGAGAATTATGTAGAATAAAATCACTGTCTCCCTAAATGATAAAAGTCTAAGACTTTGTCCCAAAGTTGGGTGTTCTCTGAGGAATTGCTGGAGACACTATTGCCCCCTGTGGCTAGGTAAGCTTTCCAGACACAATCCAAGGGAAGGAAATGCCTTTGGTGAAGGAGGAGAGACTCCTACGTGGCATGGGGACCAGCAGCTGAGAGTGGTTGTATGGGTAATTCACACCAAAAGCACTCCAAATGCTACTTTCATCTAAATGGACTATAAGGGTTGTCATCAGGCCAGGGAGATGTAGATATTTCAAATCTGAATTTCACAGTATTAGCATTACATCAAGCCAAAAAGATTAAGAAAGTAAATGACTGTAATTTGTCTAAAGCAGAATGTTTGCTAAAACCAGGCAGGTCTCTAAAAAAAAAAAAAAAGAGACAGCAGTTGAAATTATTTTGTAAATGTTAATTGTATAATTTACATTAAACTCTTTCCTATGTATTATAGCCTTTGAGATATGCTATTTAGTCTTAAGAGAACTGGTTACCTCATTTGGAATGACTCAATACAAAGATCTTAAATATTTAACCCTGATCTTGGTATAAATGTAAAACAGCTGGTTTCTTTTTAAGAAATTTTGACTTTTATTAAGCAAAACAATTCTGAGAGTGCATTTTCTGACAAATTCATATGATTAACCTCAACATTCTGTTTACAATATATAATCACACAGGAAAAAATGCATAAAAGCAGGATAACTTACTTAATTCACAAATTCTTTGTTATTTCCCATAGAGTGTTATTTCCCAGAGTTTCACATCTGGAAAAGCTCATGCAATTAAACAGTATGTCCAAGAACAGATCATCTGAAGGAATTCCAAATATATGCTTTTTTTTTTTGGCATTGCATTGCTGGTTTTATCTAATGGAGAGCATTTGAACACAATAAGTCAAGGGAAAAATTTTTAAAAAGACTCTGTGTTATAGTGTCCTAGGACATGAAGGGACACCCTAAGTCTGCTGGGGGTTGTCCTGTGCCTCAAGGTAAGACTGTACCAAAACAATTCCAGAGAATTCACTGTCTTAAATATTTAGGAAAGGAGCTCTATGCTGCCATTGATCCTGTGTCCTCATTATTTATTTGCAGCCATGAAGGCTTCCTTTGTTCATAATCTATATCCTTCCTCTTAAGCCCATTTTTTTTCCTCTCTCTCTCTCTGAGAACAAGGCCACCAGACAAAGTCACAGCCCCAGCAGGCTCCTGCTGCTCTCCAAATTCTTACAACTGCACAATGGTCACTGCAGAGAAAACTCAACTCATTGCTGTGTGGGAGGTCAGAATTAAAATGGCAATAGTTGAGAAGGGAGGAGAAGAGTAAAAATAAAGAAGAAAATAGGCGTTCTTCAGCCACAGAAAACATTTTATGACAATGCTACAGCACAAAATTAGCTAACACATTGCAAGACTTGATTACATGACATTGGAGGAATTATTCCATTTGGCATTTTACTCCCAGCCTTTTCAAGAGAGCTGTATTAAAATCTGGCAGAGGGGAGGGGAGGGGCTGTGTCTGCTTTGCAGCAGGGATTAGAATGATGTATGACAGGAGTTTATGATGCTGCCTCTCAGGTTTTTCTGACCTCCCTATCTAAATAGGTTCCTGCCTTCCCCCACCATTGATATTAACCATCATAGCATTATGCTTATTTTCTGCTTAGCATTTATTACAATCTGTAATTAATTTTTTAAAAATCGGTTTGTTGTCCCATCTTCACACCAAAATATTGTTCCAGGAAGGCAATAACCCTACTTGTTAATCATTTTTATACCTGTATCACAGGCAGCACCTACATAAATAGGATAAAAGAATAAGTGTGTAAACAAATGCTATCCCCAGAACCCAGACCTCCTTGACTCCATTGCCTTAGAAGACTTTATTTCCTGCCCACCCATCCCTCTGTAGCAGGAGCCTCATGAATCATATTTGTCTGCATTGCCTTTATTAATGGATAACTATGGACAGAGTTCTCCTTGCAGTTCTCCTCTGTGTGAGCATAGCCAGCCAACACCCTACAGTTAAAGCTTGCAGTTGTTTGGTGTTTAACTTTGAGCACATCGATGGACTCAAGTTTCTATTTGCAAAGTCAGACCACAGAAATTAAGTTAATTGAGACATGATGGCAAAAGAATTTCCCTTTGGGGATGAGTTTATAAGCTTCTCCAGTCTTTTGGGATGATTGGCACATCTTTTCTGCCTAATCCTTTCCCCGTACAAAAATGAAGGAAAAATGATCTGCTATGGAAGAAAGAAACAAAGGACTGTGCAGACATTTGATTATCTTTTAAAGTGAGAGATGAACTAAAAACCATGTAATGGCCTCTTTAAGTGAATGGTAGAGAGGAAAAAAAGCTAAAGTTGAAACTAGCAAATCTTTTCTTCAGAAAAGCAAGCTGAAACTTTGGTTGAGTAAATAAAACCTGCTATAGCTTATATTAGAAAAGCACATAGGGAGAGTAACCAAAATAAAATTTGCATCTAAGAGTTATCCATTAGTTAGAGGTTTGTATTTATCATTTTCAGGCTTTGAGTTATATGGTGCTTGTGTATTTTCAAATCTTTATTTGCAAATTGCAGTGCATATGGTGTAGTGGGGAGAACAGTGGGCCTAGCACATAGAGGGGCCCCAAAAAATCTCAGGTAAAAGAATAAAAGTCAAGTAACAAGAAGATTGTCCAAGTATCACTTATGTATAACCTTGGAAAAATGATGTAACCTCTCAGAGCCTCAAAATCCCATTTTGTAAGATGCTGTCTGCCCAACTCAAGAGGGTTATATAAAACCCAAATGACATAATGCATATTAAAAATATATATATTATAAAGCCAAATTAAATGTGAAGTATAATAGTAATATTTTGTAACAGAATTATGAAACTCACTAAGTTCTTATTTAATAAATATCTATTATATATACTATATGTGATTTTTTGTTTTCCTGACTTTTGATATTCTGCAGTTTAAAAAGATGGATACACTTCACTGTAAAATTTTAAATGGAAAAAATGTTTTAAAAAATTGAAATTCCTTTACCTGATCCCCATTCCAAATACATTCTCAGAGACAAATCCAGTTGACAGTTTGATATATAATCTTACTGATCTCTTATAGCAGGTATGCCATATAAGTTGTATATATTATTTTTACAAAAATGCAATTACACTATACATATTGCTCTGCATTTCTCAGTAAACAATATCTGATAGATACCCTTTGATCTCAGCACATATAGATCTGCCTCATTGTTTTTAATGGCTTCATAATATTTCATAATGCCATTATTTCTCAATAATTCACAGCAGATGACTAACAGCAAAATTGATTGCATCATTTTAAATAGGTTAATGGTGTGGCTAAAGAATCATTACTTTTTCAACAGAAATGCCATTTTCATGATTGGCATTTCTAAATCCTTCAGCGTCAGAGAAGATTCTAGAACTTCTCATTTGTGGCTAGTTTCAGGGTAGAACAGCTCTTCTTCCTTGTGTCTCACCTGAATATCTGCTGTTCAGATATTGTAAGACTGTTTACAAAATATGATTTGGCAGAGTTTCCTGGATAATGTTTTGGGCAGAACAATCAGTCCTGGTTCCACCTGTTATGATGTTAGGAAAAAGTCATTAAACTTCTCAGTATTGTGCCTTTTTCTTCTTACACAACAGTGTTCCAGAGCTGCTCTTAACCCCTTCATGGGATTAGTGTGAGACTCAAGGAAGTCATGGAGGTGAAAGCCACTGGGCACCTAGAGAGATGCTACAAGGATCCAAGAGGCCATCTTGATTCCACAGTTAAGAATGCCTTGGGAGCTATTTGTCCCCATCCTCTCTCTGTGAGCGCACATTTAATCGCTTTGGAAACCCTATAAGACAGGCATTGGTATCTCCAGGTTTTGTAGATGAGAAAGTGAAGCTTCGGGAAATTAAGAAGACTACCTAAAACCCTATTCGTCTTAAATGGCAGTGGAGGGCTTTAATCCCGAATCTACCAGCTCCACATTCTGTGTTTATTCAACTAAGGAAACCAAGTCTCCAATGGTCACAGAATCAAGGTGGCTTTCATCTGGCAGTGGTTTCAGGTGAAGTTCCTGGAATCTTACTCTTGGCTGATGGCAGTGCTTCCTGTCCATGGCTTACATCGAGCCCAGAGTATATTTCTCAGTGTGAAATGTGTTCAGGGTCTTCAGGAGGAATAAGCTGGGTACTTACAAGTTTTTATCACATTATGGCCATTCTCATTCACATTAGAGTTAGGGTGGCCCAGCATATGAATTTGAGGGGTTCTGTGGAGCTTTCGTTTCTCAAGTGGGCTTTGCCAAGCACAATGAAGAGGGCAATGTCCTATTGCCAAAGTGTACCCTTCTGGGGCTACATAAGCCTGATGAAAAGTCATGAAGCAATGTGTGGAGCTGCATGGTGGAATGAGAGGCAGTGTTTTGCATTAATTGAGAAGAAGCTATTTCTTTAACTCCCCTCCAAAAACACCTGTCATTGAAGACATTTTCTAGGTTTCACAAGGCAAAGAGATTCCCTAGACATTTTCTAGGTTTCACAAGGCAAAGAGATTCCCGAGAGACAATCTGGTTGTTTGAGTGCCCACCACAGGCCTGTTAACAAGGGAAATAAAGGGTCTTCCTTGCCAGGCATGCTGATGCTGTGAGCTTCTTAACTGAGTCCAGTTGTTCTGTAAAATTCTGAGAAGGGTTGTGAAAAGGGTGATTACTCAGGTCTCACTTCCCTGAGGTGAGGAGGACACATACTGACAATAGCCCAAGAGGATTCTAGCACAAAAAATCCAAAAAGGGCAAGCAATGACCCTGGTTATTCCTGCTGATGACGCCTCACACAGAGGACTCACTCTGAGTAACAGCAATAAAATTGACAATAGAATTTTACTGTCACAATGTGAGAGTTGCCTTTATAGATCATTTTATTATTTGTTCATTTTCAGAAAAAATAGATTGGGCCAACTTCTGAAAACAATATTACTATTTTTCCTAGATGCACTCCAAATTTAGGGTTGCCAGGCTGTCAACTGACCTGCAGCCTTTGACACAGTGAGCATGGAGCAGTGGGACCCAGATTAGTGATGCCTGCTTGTGGCTGTCAGGGCCTGTCATCGTGGGTGGTTAGGCTTCCAAGCCTCCCAGGCAATCCGTGAGACATGGACTTACCTCAAACCACCCACGCTTGTCTGGCTCCTGCAGGTTGGCATGCTTTGACAGCCACTGGGTGCCTGGGCCACCAGGAAGTCCTGCTGCTGCTCTGCCACTGGCACTGCCTCTCCCCATCCTCATCTACATCCATAGAGATGGAAGTGATTTGCATGGGAATCCCACCCTGTTCATCCTCTAAATTCATGTGCATTCTCAGGAGCTAAACAAGCAAAGGACTGTGTTCTCACCTGTATCATTTGTTCATGTAACAAAGATGTTTAGAAGACTGTTGATTATCACCCCCTCCAGTCATCATTCTCACACTAATCCTAGCAGTTGGTGATCTGGAGAACGTTCTCAATCTTCTTGAGTTTTACATTTCCATCCTCGAAAGAGGAAAGTGCCTCACAATGTTGTTCTGAGGTTTATGTAATTCTCTGAAAGTGTTTATAAAGTTTAACAACATAAGTTGTTTTTTAGTGGTACTAACAACCAACTAGTATTGGATTTGCCCCATCCATCCAATATTGTATTTACACAAAGTAGAGATTTTACCAAAGAGAGTTATGCAAATCTCTGCTCTATTTGCTGTATCTTTGGGGAGATCTGGCTTTCAAAATATCAAAACAGGAGAATATTGCTTCCAACCACTGATTCCTCTGGCAGACTTTTCACCTAGAGGGAACGATCTGTCCAGATCAGTTTAAGCTGACTTGGAGCTTTTTCTCACCTTCTCTTAGATTCCATCTCTGTGAGAAAGAACCATTGATGGGCCAAGCTGTGTGTGCTCAGTTGAGAATGTTGATTCCCAATACTTACACTTCACCCCCATGAAACTCAACCCTCGGGGATATTCTCCCAATGTATCAGCGAACAATTCTGGATGGAATAAGTCAGCATGTTTTGGTCCTCTTTCTTTTAAACCTACCTTAATGATCTGAACCCTTTTTATGAGCTATCTACTTAACAGTCATGATAGTAGGTTAAAAATAATCTTAATGAAAAAGAAGATATTTTATTGTCACAATGTAAAATTTGCCTTTGTAAATCTTTATCTATTCATTTTCAGAAAGAATAGATTGGACCAATTTCTAAAGCCAAAAGTATTATTTTTCCTAGATGCATCCCAAATTTAATTGATGTAAATTGATATCCAACAATTTTATATGTTTAGCAACTTGGACAATTTTACAGAATGTCATTTAAAAGTGGAATTCTCTAGAAAAGCTCCAGTGGAAATGGCATGGTGTTTTATTATTTGATGACGCTATTTTTGTATATGATCCTATTCCCCGTTGTGCTTTGGATTCTGGTTGAGATTTCAGCGTTGATTTATCAACTTTCTGGTACCCTCTGCTCGACATGTTCTGTTTGCTCCTCTGGATCCACTGCCTCCCCTTCCCCGTTCTTCCTCTGCTCCTGGAGACAGATGGGTCTGTGTAAATAATATCAATGGCTCGCACTCCCTTTGGCTTCCAGTTCTCTTTGGGCAAATGGGAAGATGCAGCAGGAGATGAGAAAGAGGAAAGAGAGTGAATTCAGAGAATGTGTTTCCCCAGTCCTTCCCCGTGAGGTCACCTCCGGCTAGTTGTGCGTCTCAACAGAGACCTGTGGTCCTCTCAAGGCAGTGTGCTCTACAGGACTCTCTCTTCAGGGTTCCAGACCCCACCCTCCTCAGGCCTAGAAGTAATATCTCTTAAAGGTCTCCTACAATCCCACTTTTGTAAATAGTCTTCAAAATAAATGTTTCTTACATTACCCTATTTTGAATGAACCATCCATTCTAAGATTTTGATTGAAACAGACTCTCTCTCTAGTTCACATCTTTGTATTTTTTCTTTTATTCTGACTTAATCTTTCTCTTATAAATTCTCTCTTTTTCTTTTTTTTTTATTGTATTTTTTTTTTTTGTAGAGGTGGTGTCTTGCTCTGTTGCCCAGACTGGTCTCAAACCCCTGGCCTCAAGTGGTCCTCCTGCCTCAGTCTCCCAGAGCACTAGAATTATAGGCATGAGCCACTGTGTCTAGCCCCTTTTTATTTTTGAAATAACCTTATAAATATTTTGTTTTAGTCTTGCTTTTAGGGGAGGTGAGATATAAACAAGAAATAAAAAGAAATAAAATTTTATTTATTATTTGGGACTTAAGACACTTCGAATCTTTTGAAAGACAAGGTAGAGATGAGCACCTCAATTTAAAGATATTCAAGGACATCATCATTACCACCATCAACAAAAACCATGTAGTATTCTTTTAATATAATCTAAGCTCTGGAATAAGCAATTCATATCCACCATGGAGGCCTCAAAGTGATGTCATGAAGTAGGTGCTACTATTTCTCCATTTTACAGATGAAGACAGTGAGGCTTGGAGGGGTGAAGTAATTTATCCAAGGTCATACAATTAGCAGTAAGCCAGGAATTTAACAGAATTAAGTCAAACCTTTGTAGTACTGAGTTAGAAATAATCAGCTTTCTCTACTTTTCTTAGTATGAATTACAGCACTCTTGAAAACTAATCAGTAAAATAGATAGACATTCTAGAACAAACTGTCAAATCATTATCACTACTATAAGTTTAAACTCTTCTTACCAATCTTGATTATTTTCCTTTTTAAACCATCCTGAACCTTAATTAGAATTATAGCTCTTCCTGGTCTTTTATGCTTAGCCTTTTGACAACCCTTCCATCTGAGTGTCTCCAAGGGTCCTATCTCTAAGCTGTCTACTTTCATTCCTTTTTAGCTCCATTATTGGTGATCTATTTCCTCTGTTAGGCTCTTCAACCCTTTCAACTGACCATCTTCGGCAACTTTTTAAGACAGGTATTTTTCTGTTTCCTACCATCAGCAGCAACTAGAGGCAAAAAGAAACTTGCTTCTGAGAACATAGATGCTGATCAATCAGAAGCCAAAACAATTATTTAGCTTTATTCTTATTCCCCTTTTCATCAGCGTTCTCTCTTATGCTAATTTGAAATAGAGACTTTGACTTAATAGGAGGCCCATGGCAGCTGACCTATTGGAGGAATACCCTAACCAAGACTTCAGATCAAAACGCACTTCATGGTGGAATACAGTCAACCAAAGTTCTCACAAGGTTTTTGAACACCAATTTAAATGGCTTTCATTATAACCTTTTTAGGATGATGGATGTAACACTGAAATTTTGTCTTCTAACCATACAATTTCACCAGCAATATTCAAGAAGATTTTCCAGACATCTGTTTCTATTTTTCTCTTTATTTTTCTCAGATTCCCTCTAAGCTCATTGGCTGACCTTGACATCACAGCCAAGCCCTAAATGAAAGCATTTTATCACTCTCCATTTTTTTCCAAAGAAGGTCTTGAGATTTTATTTTCCAAGCAATAACAGATTCCATTCCTGAGACTTCTTATCATATCTTTAGCCACATCATAAATAACTCGAATTTTATATTGACAAAGAAAGTTCTATTGTACTTTTTTTTTTTAAGAAACATGGTTAACAAGCTGAATAGGACCCCTCATTACTTTATATAACATGGTCGGTATAACTTCTTTCTGAACTATGATGACAAGCAGAAAATGGGGCATATTTGTATTTAAAGTATAAATTAGTCAAAATTTGAGCTGAAATTATAGCAAAGGAATTGTCAAGTTTGAAATGCAGTCTGATGCCCTTGAAAATAATGAGAATATAATTAGAAAATAGTACATAAAATTCACGGGTCTCAGAAGATCAGCTACAGAAGGATCACGTCATCCTAGGCAGAGTGTCTCAAATGTGTCTTTCAAATTGTTGCCCCTGAAGAAGTTCAGTGATGTATCCAAGGTCACATACATGGATTTCTGCCTAAGTGAACCTTCTTCCTGTTTTCCTGGGCACCGTGTCTGAGAACTGACTGTCTGACTCATTCTTTTCTAAGCCCTAGAGGGACAAGGTTATGCAATTCTCCACAGGTATTTTGGCAGCTTCTTAGGATATTTGACTCAGGCCTCATCTCCACTCTTCTCTTAGGAGAGAATACGCACATTCTATAAGGGACATTAGACCACCAGAGAAGATGGTTACTCCCACAGCAGGATAACAGCCTTGTGGGATTAGAAGGCCACCATTCTATGATCCAGCTTCAGATGAAATTTATTGAGCACCTACTATGCATCAAGCACTGTGCAAGGTGCTCCAACAGAGACTATCTTTCTTGGCCCAGGAGGTTGACATACCTAACCTGATTCCACCACCAATTAGCACTGAGACCTTGGACCAAACTTTGAGTCTGTTTTCTTTCTATAAATCTGAAGAAAAGTTACCTGGCCTTCTTATCTCCTAGAACTGTTGTGTGGGTCAAATGAACTAATAAGTGGCAAAACACTTTCTTAAAATGTTATTGAAATATAATGTACATACAGAAAACCACATAAGTGTATAGGTGGATACATTTCACAAGCTAAACACACCAGTGTAATCAGTGCACAGTTCAAGACATGGAATGAACATTACCCCATGAGTCCCCATCTAGGAACAGCCCCTCAAAGGGTAACCACCATTCTGACTTCTAACAGGCTAGCTGTTTTGCCTGTTTTTCTACTGTACATAAATGGAGTCATATGCTATAAGCTTTTTGGTACATGGCATTTTTTGTTCGGAATTATGCTTGTGAATTTCATCCATGTTGCTGTGTACTTTTGTAAGTTCTTTGTTCTCATTGCTATGTAGATTCCATTGTACGAAGAGACATTTTATTTCCCACTCCATTGTTGATGGACACTTGGATAGTTTCTAGCTTTGGTCTGTTCACAATTATAAACATTCTAGGACACGCCTTTTGGTGAACATATGTATTCATTTCTATTGGGCATATCCTGGAAGTGGAATTCCTGGCTCCTAGGCTTCATGTATATTCAGCTTTGGGAGATGTTGCCAAATGACTTTCCAAATGGTTGCTCCAATTGACATGGCCAATAATAGAACCTGAGAAATACCAACATTAGGTATTTTTAGGATTTTTTTTTCATTTTAGGTAAGTAAATTATTTCTTAATATAATTAGATTACCACCATTTTGAATGACTCATCTCAGGGCTCATCATATTAACACAAATAAATATTTCATATATTTGTACTGTGTGTCTGAGGACATTTTATTATTCAATTGTGGTATATGCAGCATCTGGATCTACGAAAGTTAACCACAATTAGGGCCACTGGAATATAACATCCATATTTATGCTATTCTATAGAAATCGGACATCCCAAGCTTGGCTGAATTAAAATATGCATTAAAATATATATTTCTCAACTAGTCTTATGTCCTAGCAATGATTATTTTAAAAGTGTAATTTAACTAAATTAACTAGCAAGTCTGGTATCTCAAGGTAAAGACTTTTGGCTTGAAGAGCTTCTCTAGAAGGTAAGCTTTCAGTTCGGAGGAGCCTCAGAGACCCTTCAGCCTACTCTCTCATCCTATAGGTGAGTAAATTGGGGTCCCCCAAAAGAAAGGACTTACTCGTGACACCGGAGCTACTTAGTATCAGAGCCAAGACCAGAACCCAAATCCCCAGAGCCTCCCTTGACTTTTTATATCGTCCCTGCCTCAAACTGGCCAAGGTTTCTTAAATAGTTAAGGAATAGATGCTGCTACACAGTAAGTGACCACAGAGGAAACCTCATATGGACAGGACAGCGGAGAGAAAGGCCTAGGTGAATTCAGTGAAGACAGAGCAGCTATCGCAGTTGACTGTTCAGAGAGGCACTGGGGGAGAGCGGTGGTAGAATATTCTGTTGGTCCTTCCCCAGGCTGCCAGTGAGTGCAGACCGGAGACTAGACAGAAAGGTCTCAAAGAGCAGTCCTGGCCAGTCACAACCCTCCCCAGCCACACATTCCTTCTGAAAACTTCCTCTGAGGTCTTCTCCTTCCCACCACAGAGTTCTACCATTTGCCCAGATTACTCTTCCCACAACCTTCTCTCATGATGCTCCTGCCTTCACCCTGCTAATTCCTGCACATCCTTCAGATCTCAGTGTCTTCTCACTCCAGAGCATACATAATCATCACATCATTCCTCCCCATGCTTGGCACTTGTTAAGTCCTCAGTAAATAATGAGGAATGAATGAATGAATGAACATGCTATCCAGTGCAGTCCTTGTATAGTAATAGAGGCAGAAGTCCTTGCCCTGGTCAACTTACCATAGTTTCTTGTTCTTTGTCAGGGCACAGGAACAAAGGAGGGGGTTGTTGATATTGTTTCTTAAATAACTTAAAAACCATCCCCAAGTATTGATTCTAACCTACAAGCAGAGTTGAGAACCACTGCTTGGGGTAATTGTTATCATTTCTGGTTGTATGTGAGAATATTTATTATTTTTTTAAATAACCTTTATACAATCAAAAGGAAATTTTTGAGACTTTCAATTTTTAAGTAATTTGAGACTTATGTAACAGTTGCAAACAAAGATATATTTTTAATAAGAAGAATAAATGAGAATGGACCTCAAATTTTTAATTTTCTCAAAGCCTAGAGTGGTTTTGTTTCTCTGCTCTTCCCAACGTACTCCTGCCTACTACCACTACCCTCACCAGCAAAGACAAATTAAAAGGAGTGGGGGAGACAAAATGAAGCAAAACAAAACAAAAACCTTCCATTATAGTGTGGTAGAATGGCCAGAGAAGAAAGGAGACAGTACCAAGCTAAGAGGGAAAATATAAAAACAAGAGGATTAGATGACATCAATGCAGTGGTTTTGCTCAGAAGACAAGGAATGTTGGAATGTAGATAGCAAATTCCTGTCCTGAGGGACAAGTTTCAATTCTGTAACTGTTAGACATGAAAATACAATAGGGCTTAATCTTACCAAATATAGATCCACCCTGGCCAAGTACAGGTATGTACCTTTGTGTAGTCATTTATTTGCCCTTCCCCTGCCCACTGCTTTCCATTAGCACATAGTGAAAATCTTGCCCTGGAAAGAAAGGAGACTAAAGCAAAAAGTGAGTTAACACATTGGATTCTTCTGACATAGCTTAGACAGTTCCTCCATCATCAATCCCCTTAAGTCATATTCAGTGAGTGTTCTGCTGGCTGGAAGGAGTTAAGACATTTTCCTATTAATATCAGGTGGCAAATGATAGGCCAAGAACATCTGATAGTTTTTGCTACTCTGTAAAGTTGAGGTTTAGCATCCAAAAGTAGTTACTTTCCTTTCAATAGAGAGGGAGGAAGAGCAGAGTGAATAAAACAGGAGCTGGAGTCTTGCCCATGTAGTTCTATGAACCTGGACAAGTTGTTTCACCCCTCTGTGGCTCAGTGTACTCATCTACAAATAAGGGTTACAATAGTACCTACTTCAAGAGTTGCTAACGGGACTTAATGAGTTAATTAATACATGTCAAAAGCTTGGAATTGTGCCTGGCACATAACAAGGGCTCAAGATATGTTAGCTGTGATCATCATAGTTATACGCTTGGTTTAGCTATAAATTCTTATTTTGAAACTGCATTCGTTTCAGTGTAAGTGAAATATCAGGAAACAATTTGAGCATAATGTAAATGCCAAGTTTACTCTCTGCAATTTTATCTGCAAAAAGTATTAGATGAACCCAGGAAACTGCACTCAGCTGAATTGAGCTATGTGGGATCCACAAAATCCACACATTCACAAACCTGAGACGCCTACCAGCTAGTGTAGTTCACCATGTGTGTGATGGGCCACACCCATCCACAACCATCGTTATAACTTTTGATCGATTTCAGATAATCTCCTCACCATTTTGCAATAATTTATCAACCGCAACCCTTCAGATACCCACTTCCACAAACAAATTTCTATCTTTTTTTCTATGAGTGTTCATTGTCAACCTTCAGGGTTTGAGACACACTGTCAGGAAGAAGTCCTGGAAAGCGAGCACAGTAAACAGGAAAGACAGAACTTCTGTTGGTCCTCATTTCAAGATGGTGCCTGCATGTTTCAAAGGTCACCAAGCAGAACGCCAACCCACTGAAAATATTGCATAATGCATAAGGGCAGAACAGAAAATTAGGACCTAAGTGTTCAGTACCAAATATATTAGACTTTTTCTTTCCTTAAAGTATATTCAGACTGAGATTCCTAGAATTAAAACAGCTTTTAACCACAGAAGAGTTATTGTAACCTTAAATTTCTGGATAAAATTCAGAGTGAAATATGTGCAAAACAAAATTGAGATCATTCCTGAATAACCAAGTTAAGCCTTTTGAGGCACTGAAAGCAAAACCCTCTCTGTGTGTCTTTATCTCTCCCCCTCCCTTTCATACACACTCTTCAAACCAATACAAAAAAATTACTTAAAGAAAATATAGGCATGTAAATATATAAAATAAACTCTAAGTAAATCTAGAGTGTAGGAAATTTTGAGAGTACAAAAATAAGGAATGCACAAAATTTAAGCAAATTTCTACCCCCATTGCCCCTCCAAATGTAGTTTTACAATCTGCCTGCAAATGTTTATCAGTAAGAAGAGAATGCCTAATGGATCAGAAACCTGATAAAAACATATTCAAGTAGAAAAAATGTTTTCCTCTAACTAAATAGTACTGTATCCTAGGGATCAAACAAACAAACATAAAGATAGTACACAGCAGAGGCTAAATGCCGCCGCCCTGTTTGTTAGTTGATGACTTCCTGATCTCAGTTAAGAAAAGTCAGCTTGTGCTGCTATGGATCTTCTTAGAAGGTAGAAAGAAACTTAACCCCATGCAAAGCCCCATGAAATTCATTTGCAATTACCTAAAGCTCCCAATACCCTGAAGTCTTATAAGGAACACTACTTCATTTTCAATTTACAAACAAAATTATGCATTAAATTCCTGCCATCTGCCACATACTGTGCTTAAATGCCATGCTCACCATTACTGCCTGAGAACCACGGTGGTGGGAGCAGGAGGCAGCTCTGCTCTCCTGAATTCAGAGCTTGGACTTAGCCTTCATCAGAGCTGCTAGCACCACTGGAGAGCAGCGTTTTCATGAGCTCTGGGAACATCCAGGGCATGTTTAGAGAAGTGATCAAGACTCCTTCTTGGGGGGTACCCAGGAAGGTAGTCTCTGCCCTGAACTTGGCTCTTTTCTCAGAGCAGACTATGTGACATTTAATTTCTTCACTGAAAAGAAAGATGTGCTGTTTATAGGGCCAATATAACCACAGGAAATAGCAGAAATCCTGAATTTAGAAATGGTAAAATTCCTGAGAGTTGAAGGCTTATTGAAGACTGTGAAAGATCATCTCTGGAAACAGTAGATAGGAAGCCATGAATAAAGCCAGTATCAACCATTGTTATGGGGATGAAGCTACAGGACAGGTCTCACTGGCCTCAACTTAGACTTAGCTCCAGAGTCAGCTAATATCTTTCCCAGGAAGAGAAACTTGGACAAGATTCAGCATAAACATTATCCTGGACCTTGCTGGGCATTCTTCTCTTAACAGAGTTCATCTGAGCCTTCAAAGCATTCATATTGCTGGAAAGTTGCCATTGTAGCCTCCTGTAAGCCTTCTCATAATGAACCAGACAGCCATATGGAAGAGAGTGGATCATCAAGTTGGAGTGACAAGCACGGACTTCATCATCAAAGATCCACCTAGGCCTTTGCTCAGTGCTCTATCAAAATGTAGGATTTGGATACCAAAGTGCACCAAATGGCAAGGACTGGGGGTTCTGAATAATAGGTCTTGGTCTAGACAAGCCCAATGGAGCAGGCGTGGCCTCTACCATAAGCTCTCAACTTGGCTCAGACTTATAGACCTAACTTCACCCTGACATCTTCATCTTCCTTCTCCACCCTCTTCTTAACTCCAAACACAATGATAGCCTTCTCCTCTCCAACACTTAATGGTTTTTCTCATTTTAGTGCTAAAGGTCTTTGGACAGTTTCTGTCAAGTACTAGCCCTGCTTGTCTGCAGATCCAGAGAGCCTTAATTGACAGATTCAACTGTGCCTATTCCTGAACCAATTCTGATCAAGAAAGTGGTCCCACCAGTCAGTGCTGACAGGAATTAGTCTTTTGCTGTCAACTAATGGTTTCCAATTAGGGCAACTTTTTCCACCCAGAGATATTTGTCAATGTCTGGAGACATCTATGGTTGTCACAGCTGAGGGAATATTAATTAATAGCACCTAGTGGGTAAAGGTGAGGAATGTCATTAAATACCCTACAATGCAGAGGGTAACCCCCCACCAACAGAGTACTGTCCAGCCCCAGCTGTTCACAGCGCTGAGTTTGAGGAGCCCTACTCTACCTAGTCCCAGGGATGAGGCATGGGAACCCATGCACAAACTGAGTCAAGCTTTCCTTTACTGCCCTATTGTGTTCTCCTTGTCGGTTTGATTTCAGCCTGGTGTACCTGCTTCAGGCTCTGGTTTTCCCTGCTGAGTCCAGAGTCTCGCCTAGGGCCTTGCCTGTTTGTCAGATACCTTGGTTTATGGCAGACCCCTCACCTGGATCTCCAATTGGAGTTCTATCTATATAGATCCACAAAGCCATAATTCATTTAATTTTCAGTATTCTTGCTGCAAGAACCCTTTCCACCAATCCCTACTTACCTGACCATAGTCCAGGAACAAAAACAGTGAAGTCAGCCTGATTTCCAGTGCTTTGGGATATAATATTCTGGACTTCTGACTGCTTTTCTCAGGGGTCATCCTACACCCAACCTGGTTGCCATTTCTTACCACCCCCCAAAATCTGTCCCTGAGGTCCCAAAGTGACTTGAGGCTGAGCTGACCCCCAGGATGCTTTGAGGGAAGAATTTCTAAGGGAGCAACACTAAGCACTATGCTTAGGGTAGCACTGTGCTGGGCAGACACTTTAACCCAAGCTCTAAAGCCATGATGAGTCAGTCCAAGACACTATTCTCGAATAATAACGGCAACTTCTTATGAGCCACCCAAAGTAATGTCTCTCTCTTTAGTAACTATTTCAAATTTTTGTGTGATTAGCCATTCTCCAACTCTGGGTGTAGAGAACAAACCCATAGCTATTTCCCTGGAAGGGACAGCCACACACCCTGCCAGGATATCCTGCTGCCCCCAGGCACTATATGAAGACATACCCATTCCTCCCTGCCATGGCAGAGAAAGTCCTTTCCAGAGAAGAACTTTGGTTTCTTGGCCTTGTTCCAGACTGAACCAAAAGAGGAAACGAAATAGACAAAGCACCAGATGGAGAGTAACTAGTCAGAATGATTCAGTCCACAAACACCTCCATATCTAAGAAATGAGCACAGGTTTCCAGCACACTAAGGTACATCTGGGTGGGGTGACAGCAATAGGTGCTCATTTGAAGCAGTTGGAGATCATGGTACACAAAACCAGCCTTCGAAGTAGTATGTTACCGCAAGAGCCATGGCCACTTTGAAGTAAAATCAAATTGTCATTGGTGAGATGAAGAAGCTGTGGAATTTCAACCTGGTTGGTTTCAGCACTTGCTGTTACATTTGCACTGCTGTTTAAAATGCTAGTTCTATTGGATTCTGAGGATACTATACAAAAAAAATTCCCAAGAATAAATAAAGAAGTAGTACCCCAAGCACAGGAAATGATCATCAAAACTCATCCTTTCCTATAGTGAAAGGATTACTATTTCACTATTACTATAGTGAAATCAGTAATTTTCACAAGGAATCTGCATCACCAGCAATCCTCCCTGGGGAAAAAAATGGAAGTGAATAAACAGATAAAACCTAAAATAGGGGCTGGGCACGGTGGCTCACGCCTGTAATCCCAGCGCTTTGGGAGGCCGAGGCGGGTGGATCGCGAGGTCAGCAGATGGAGACCATCCTAGCTAACACGGTGAAACCCCGTCTCTACTAAAAAAAAATACAAAAAATTAGCCGGACATGGTGGCGGGTGCCTATAGTCCCAGCTACTTGGGAGGCTGAGGCAGGAGAATGGCGTGAACCTGGGAGGCAGAGCTTGCAGTGAGCCGAGATCGCACCACTGTACTCCAGCCTGGGCGACAGAGCGAGACTCCGTCTCAGGGAAAAAAAAAAAAAAAAAAAAAAAAAAAACCTAAAATAAGGCAACCATTTCAAATAATGTAATAATAAAATCTAAAATATTACACCCATTTGAAAGAACACAAAGATATAACCTAAAATATTGCAACAATTTTAAAGGTTCTATAGATCTAAAGTAGCGGCTTCACGCTTTTTGAATATAATTCTAAATAGCACAATGCTTCCTTTTAATTCTTTTGGATTCCTGGAGAGACAGCTCCTGGCTGAGTATCAGTTGAACACACAGGTTGTCTAGGCTTTTCAATGATGGTGATGGACTTCTTTTAAGCTATCCAAATTTTTTCTTCGAAATCAACATCCTTGATTTATGTCAGCAAAAAAGCAGCTTTCTGGGGTTTCAGTTACACCTGAGCTCTGTCCATTGCCAAGCCCATATGTACCAAGGAGTTTCAGATGCAGGAAGCCCAACAGCATGAATTATTCTGAGACATCACCAGAGAACACAAATAGGCTAGGGCATCAGATCAGCAAGTCATAACTAAGCTTTCAAGCTATAGCTGACAATGAAAATAACCCCAGAAGTCTTGAGAAGCACAACCTATAAAGCAGAGGAGTGTGCTTTTCTGGAGTGAGCATGATCCAGATTTACCAGAGGAAGCATGTCAGCTGTAAACACACTCTTAGCAGCTCCATCCTAACCTGTTCCAGGCTCTTTGGGGACTGACAATCTCATCACCTGCATAGCTTGCCACAAACTTCCACGCTAAGGCATTTGCACGTAAACTGACCTTCACACTTCAGCTAATATCTTCACTGCACAATGAAATGAATGTGAACTAGAAAATCAAATTCTGTGTAAAAATAGGCAAGTCTCTTCCCAAATAAGAACAAAAGCCAAAAATTCACCTTATAAATGAGCTTTAGGAATAAGTTTTATGCTATTTTATTTTTATAGTTCATGAGGGTTCTGCAAATACTATAGCTAATCCAGTGTCACCTCCAACAGGATCTTCCAGGTAGTTGTGATTTATGTCTTTATTAGTCATGTTAATTACATAACAATACCTAAAGGGCTGCTTCTTGCATTCATTGCTTGCTCACACCACAGTAAAAAAATAATCATCACCTGACTGGTATCACAAAGCTTTCTTTCCACTACACTGGAACATTTTTACTCATCTCACACGATGATTTCAGAAGGACTGGAAGTCCATGGGATGGGTGCTTGAGCCATTTGAAGTGGCCTGTGTGTCAGTCAAAACCATTGCACCTAATCCACCTGAACAGGGTATGTAACTTCTTGCCTGAGTTGAGTCTTCTTTACCACAGCAGACTAAGGCAGGCTTTTATCCCCGTCATGGGTGAAAGCTTTAGCAACTGCTGCTCTCTTTCCATGTGGAGGATCATACATTATCACTGTACTTCTGGCCTCTCACCAGAGTCCCGTTCATTCACCCCTTGACAGCATATATAAGCCACATCCTGTAACTTCAGCTTTATCGGTAATAAAGATGATGTTTTGGTGTATGATTGCCTTATTCCTTTGTCTTATTTCTCAGTTGTGTTTGAATTTGGCCACAAAAAAAGGACTTTCCTTAGAATAGTCTAACATTTGGTGGATTGGTTGGAAACACTGAGAAACATAACAAATGGCTGAAGTGGGAAAAATAAAACAAACATTAAATGATCTTGAGCGGTTCTGGGCTTTGGATTTTTTTGTGTGCATGAGAGAGATGTTTTGACCTTAGTGGATTGCGGAGGCTTTTATTAGCTCATAAGGTTGCTTTTTATAATTTCACACTTGGCTTTTTAAAAATTCTATGACTTGGAAAAGGGGCCTTAGGCTTTAGGACATAATATTTCAACCCCGACAGATAATTACAGCTTGTCCAGTGGTAGCTTTATATGGACTGTTTTTTATATGTAGTTGTTTGTTTTATAGATTGTGACAGCCTAAAGCAAGATTCCATTGCCCTCAACAAAGACGTAACACTCAGGGAAAATACCAGGACAATTCAGCTTTGACAAAGTAGTGGCTGGGGGACTCAGAAAGCCTGGGGCTCAGCCAAGTCACATGTGCAGGAATGTCATCAGCAGACACCAATTGCACGAGACTTAGAAAAGGCCTGCCTTAAGTGGATGCAGGGAATCTCATGGTGAAGTCTTTCCCCTAAACAGTACAAGCCACTTGTCTTATCACACACATGCTAGTGATTCAGGGACCTCAGCCTATGCTAGTAGGCAGCAAGGCCACATATTTAGTTAGTGGCTGAGCAGGGATCTGAATACAGGCTGGATTTGCCCCAGAATACAAGCTCTCAATCAACTGTATTATTAGTTTTCTTTTGCTGCTGTATCAAATTGCCAGGAACTTAGTGACCTAAAACAGCACAAATTTATTATCTTACACTTCTGGAGGTCAGAAGTCCCAAGTGGGATCTACTAGGCTAAAATCAAGATGTTGACAGGGCTGCAGGCCTTCTGAAGCATCTAGGAGAAAATCCATCTCCTTGATTTTTCCAGCTTCTAGAGGCCACCTGTATTCCTTGATTCATCCTTAAGGAAGTAGCGTAGCAGCTGTAAATCTCTCTAACTCTGACCCTCTTGTCTTCCTCTTATAAGGACCCTTGTGATTATATGGAGCCTTTCTAGATAATCCAGGATAATCTGCCCATCTCAAATCCTTAATGATGTCTGAAAAGTCAAAGTAACGTATGACAGGGTCCATGGGATTAGGATGTGGATATGTTTGGGAGGAGGTTCTTCCATCTACCATTCCAGGACTCATTCAGCCTCCCCTTCATGTTGACATTGCATCTGGGGCCATAGTTTTTGACAATATACTAAGCCCCACATTCTGAGAATGTAATTTTTTCTGGGATAATTGCTTTAGAGGATGAGGTTTGGCTTCTTTTCTCAATATGGTAGGTGTGGCCCACCAGTGAAAATAATAACTGCTTGAAACTTTTCATCAGTAAAGTCATCAGAAACCCAGCATATATTTTCTGCAGTCCTGCAGGAACCACACCAGCCTCAAGAAGAGCGAGCCCCAGCTGCAAGCCCTGGCAGGACCCCTCACTCTGCTAACACTGTGGAGACCCCTCACCCCAACCCTTAATGGGAAGTCAGTATATAATTAGTCACGTTGGGTTGGGCTTTTAATTCACCAAAGCAGTAGAGTTTGATTCAGACTTTAATTCACTTGGGTTTTGTTAACATTAGACTTAAACTTGCGAAGGGACTAATGTATCGATTTTAATTCTTCTGAGAGAATTTCACAGAGGGAGGAACTATATTCAAATTTGGGGCATCCTCGCTTTCTTGGCATTTTATTCGTGGAGTTTCTCTCTGCATTTTCACTTAATTTTATTTCATAACTTCCAGTAGGTTATATTGGACAGTTACTTCCAATAGATTATATTGAACAGTTGTAGCAGGACAGCACTGAGCAAGGGAAACAGAATAGAAAGAATATTTTTGGCCTTGGAGTCCATTTAATTACTGCATTGTTCTGACCCATTTCAAAGCCTCCTGCAGAAAAATCTCATCTCAGCAGGAGGAAGCCTGCCCAAACCAGCCCTGCTGGGTAAGTTGCTTTAAGTCCAGCAGGAATCAGTGTCTGTAGTGGTGGAGATGAAGCAGGCTGCAGCATGCTATTGCTGAATGGGTTAAAGCTCCAGGACTCCAGGAGGCATCTTTACTTTACAGTCCTCTTACCTCTCTCACCTAGGGCCCCTAGAGTTGTGACAGCCAAGAAATAAGCCACATTCTCTAATATCAGGTGTGTTCATTGAAATGGTGATACTTTGAACTCTAGCTGACTTATTATTTGTCTTTTCTTTTTTCAGTTGGATCCAAATTTAAGTGAAAAATGGGGCTGTTATTTATTGGGACCCCACGAAATTCCCCCTAATTTTTTTTCTCTAGATTGTTATACTGGCCTTCTAGTGGGTCTCTTTCTTCAGTCAGTTCTTGAGGCCTGTGCTGTAGGCATTTGAGTTTGTCATCTTTTGCTTACAGCAGAAGAGCTTAACCCTTTTTGAGACAGGAACCCCTGTGAAAGTCTGGCAGATCCTGAGGACCCCTTTCAGAAATAATATCTTTAAATATGTAACATAAAATACACAAGATTACAAGTAAAATAATCACACTGAAATACAGTTCTCAAAAATGTTTTAAAACAAAATTTACCCTCAGCAGGTGATGATAATTAAGGTAGGAATTAGTGTAGCTTCAAAGAGGATATAAAACATAATTAGTTCTGTAGTTGTGAACGCTATAATTTAAAAAAATCTGCAGGGAAATCAATATAGAAATATAGAGCTTTTTTCGTGGGGGCGTGCAAATATACAATTCATATAATTTATATGAATCCCTATTATTACATTAACATGATTTAGTACTTAACCTATAAGCACCATAATTTAAATATGCTGATAGCACAAATGATATTTCAAGATATCTCTAGCCACCATAACAGAATATGGAAAGATCTATGATCTGTATTTGTAACAAAGTCATAGGAAATAATTCAGATGCGATGTGTTGCCGACATTCATAAATGAAGAAAACGGCAAATTTCAGTTAGAGGTTAGTGAAATATATGTTTCTTTCCAAACTCATGAACTCCCTCCATGGAAACCCAAGTTTTAAGCCCCATTCTTAGAGTGGCTGTCTATTGTTTATCTGCCATAGGAATACCCGCTATTCTACTGTCCCTTACACCACTTATCTATCAGATATCACTCCAGTCTTTAACACTTCACCAGTTTCATTCTTCATCATTCCTCAGTGCTGAGCCACTTTTATCCAAAGTAAATCACATTTTTAACTGTAATACACCAAATATTCAGATTTGCCCACATGCAATTCCTTCATCTTAAGTGATTGCTCCAAGTTCTGAGGCTTATTCAATATGCATTAAATTGTACATGGTTTTGTTAATATTTCTTAGTCTATATGTGTGTATTAAAATGAAGAGTGGGTGCTAAACACTCAGCACACATGGACATAAACATGGGGTAATAGATACTGTGGACTACTAGAGAAGGGAGGGAGGGGGAGGTTGAAAAACTACCTATTAGGCACCAAGCTCATTACCTGGGTGCAGCATACCCATGTAACAGACCTGCACAGGTATCCCTGCATCTAAAATAAAAATTGGAATTAAAAAAATGCCAAAGCAACTTATCTTACTGAAAAGATGTGAAGATTCACTGAGTTTTCATAGAAATGTAAGCTTAGTGAAAGCAGAAATTTCATCAGTACTATTTATCTTGTATCCCCAGTTTTGGGCAGACAGAAGGAGCTCAACAAACACTGTGGAATGGGTAACTGATCCAGTATTCAATGATAAACTCAGATTTCTTAGTGACACAAACACATATTAAAGAGTATAAAAGTTACTTGGGAAACAAGAGTACATTCTTGAAGAAACTGGCTTTAATTCTTGGAATGTCTATTTTCATATTATTAGAAATATAAAGTTTTCTTCTTACAAATGTTGTGCAAGTATATAGGGAATGAATGATTACTTCCTTTTTTTAAATAAAAGATGTAGTGAAAGAGTCTATCAATTCTTTTATTGCCATTAATAATGACGAATGTTTAAGTCCTGTACTATAAAACACTGTGTTCCACACCCTTTATAGCCACCTCCTGTTATGATGCTTCAGATACCTTAATAAGCATATTTGCTCAATGAATAATGTTGACTTTTGTTCCTTTTGTATTACTCAATAGCTCAGAGTTTCACTATTTTTTCCCTGAAATATATAGATCATTTTTCAAACATAGAAAACATCAGTTAAATTTTATCTCTAGTTTTTTGAACATATATAAATAGAGCAGTTATTTCCATTGGTGGTTTCTTGGAGTGAGGATTGGCATGGATGGGTTTGTTTTTTGAGTGATAATAAAATACAAGATTAATATACTATGATTTGTTTTTAAGAGCTAAAAGCATTTTTTAAAGTTCAAGAAGAGATCCCTCAGTGGGTTGTAAAATCATTTTAGTGGGTCACAAACATGATTTTTAAAGGTGAAATAGAACAAAGTAGAAAATACCAGAATGCATCAGACATAGTAAGGAAGGAGTGTTTGGTAAAACTTTTGGGGAAAGGGGGAGAAAGAGAGAGAAAGAGAGAGTGTGTGCGTGCGTGTGTGTATTTTAATGAGTTGCAATATAAAATGTATTTATGACTGTAGGTCATGGTCAAAGCATCTAACATACATTAATTATGGCCATTATATTGAGTTTATAGATAGAGAAAAAAACTGTGGCTCCATACAACACATAGAGCTGGTCACAGAGTTGATGTACTATTATATTTCTTGACTCTCATTCCAGTCCAATGATCTCCCATATAGAGAAGATTTTATTTTTATTTGTTCAGATTTCTTGCTTCATTTTCTTTTAAAATGAACCAATCATGAAGACAGAATTGTCTGTCTAGGTCACACAAGAGTCTTTATCACTCTTTAAGACCTTTTGTTTTTGTGTTTGCATTTCTTGGCATAAAAATCTTCAGCTAGCTGGACTTTAAGGTGGGCATCGAAGTTCTGTATGGAATATGCCTATAAAATGGCATTGGCAATTCTTGTATCACATGAATATTATAGAAATTAAGTGATGTAATGTGTGAAAATAATCAGTACAATGGCCCACTGAAAATGCTACATATATATTCAAAGCTAGATTTACATATCCTTAAGCTTGCCTTTCATGGACATTTAATAAGACAGCCAACAGCATAAGAACATAAACTTATTTCGAAGATTGAAATACCCTTTATTCATCAAATGTGACCAGTCAAGCAAAAATATGCGACTATAAAGAATGCTATTCTTCTAATGTTGCATTTTAATACAATCAAGCCTATGTGTGTGGCAACATACACAACTGTATGTTATATTTAATTACATTATACATAAACATGATTTTTTGACCATTTATTGGAGAAAAACACATTTAAAATATAGAATACTGGGCTTGTGTTTAGGTATGAGTAAGAGTTTCCTGATATAATTGTTGTTAAGCAACATACCACAGAATTCTGTGGCATCTTCTTCCTCGAATTTTGTTTTAAGAATTGCTATTTAAAACTGACTCAATCTGTGCTGATTAGAGACTAGGGGACAAAGTATATAACTAGCACATTATTTGTCCAAGTCCATATTCTATAATTCATTTTAAAATATTTTGAAATTAAGCTCTTTCAATGTATTTTCTAAAAGGACATATTTATAAATTAATTACATTTAAATTAGAGAATTATTAATTTCTGCATCAGATTCAACAGCATCCTCCTTCAACCACCTCAATTGTCTCAAGATGAAATAGCAGTTAATCCTCCAAGAAAATGATTTCCTCTCTTATTTGAAAATTGCTACACCTGGTGACTTAAAACCTCATACTGTAGCCTACTTTCACGTTTAATACCTGTTTCTGTGAATAACAAGTTTCACAAGTTTAATCAAACTCTCCCTTTTTAAACTCTTATACAGATTCTTTCATTAATAAACATTCACATAAAACACCTATTGTTTGCTCTGAAGACAAATGAGAATGCTTTATAGTTCTGAGTATATAGAAATGTCACACATAGATGTAGGGTGAACCACAGAGAAAGAACTAGAAGTCTTGCAGTCCAGCAGCACTGTTCTGGGACATTATGTCAAGGGGAAAAAAAAAAAAAACCTGGAAGTCAGAGTAAGAATTTGAATCCTACATTCAGCTTTAGCTTCCAAAGTACAAATATCAACTGCAGACACCAGAAGAAGCTAGGGTCTGGCCATAGGAGGTCTCTGGTTTGTAGCTACCAGAATCTAAGGAGGGCATTTCTGAATCAGGTATCTGTATTCCGATCATATTCTGTTGCATGCCACTTGCTATCTCAGAATAAAGAGGAAAAATCAGCACCCCAAGACTGTATTTTCACAAGGGCTAAAAAGCTCATCCTTTCCCTTGAACTCAAAGATGATTTCTTGTATCATTCTTTGACCAGCAGCAGACTGTGGAAATACAGCAGTGTTTTTCCAGAGATAAACAAGGTTAATGGATATTCCATGATGAAAAGCTGCCAGTTCTAGATTCTGCCAGCTCCCATCCAAAGGAACTTATAGAAAGGTTGTCTGACTTCTATTCATTTCACCCCAAGGCATCAGATTACCCAACACAGGCAATAAACATACCTCTTCCTTTTTTTCCTGACTGCCTAACCTCTTTAGTGGGGACCCCTGAGCTGGAGGGCAGCTCCTTCCACAGCCTTAGAGCCCTGTGGGGTCATATTATATGATTTAGTCAAAGGCACCACCAGGTCCCAACACCTTAAAATCAAAGGGAAATATAATAATTGATAAGCACCTCCCTGCCACACACATCTTTTTAAAAATAGTACTTGAAAATAGCAATAATTGTAGCCAAGAAACATAAAGACTTCATCAGAAATCACTGAGGATGTGCGTAAGTCCTTTATTGCTAAAGAATAAGCATTCAACAAGTTGCAACAAATTTATTCCATCAGAATGAATTACGTACTCAAATTAACACACTTCAGCCAGCTAGAGGGTTAGTGGGATACCTTCAGGGTGATTTTACTTAATGCCTAAAAAACAACCAATGCCGTTGAGCTTTTCATAAAAACTGAGGTCCAACTCTCCAAATAAATCAGATCTCTGATAAGAAAACTAAGATTCCAAGTGCCTTCAAACCACTGTTTATGAACATAAACAGAAGCAAGAGAAATACCACAATTAGGCCAAGTCAGCTATAAGAGTTATCCCTTGCCTGTAGACCTTGCATAAGTTTCACTGCTTTGAATTAAAATTGGCCTATAAGTTCAAAGATGAAGGAGGATGAACAAAAATTGTAATTAATCTTGCTTGTTAGCCATTTTAGTAGTCCTGAGTAAGTGCTCACTAAATATATGATGAACAAATGAATGACTTCATGCTGATGACAACTGGCACAGATCCACAGGTAATTGTGTGAGCCAAACACTCAGTTTGCAGACTGGCTAAACTTTAGGCAAGATTGTTTGCTACAGCTCTTTGCAAGGCATAAACAATTAATGTGCCAGTGTTAACATGCAACCCACACTTAACCCCCGGGGAGATTTTGCTTTGCTTTATTTTTATAACCTTCTTATAGTTTAACCAGGAGATAGTACAACTTGCATGTTTTGCAGTTACTCAGGTCAGAGGACTAAGCAGAAGAACCTTTACACTTCTAGACACTGCCTAACACACTAGGGCTTCAACATAATTGTTTTCAAAAGGCCACACAACTCTGAACTATAGAGTATGAAACAAAATTTGGTGCCATGATCCATATGTCAGTGAGGTCAGTCTTAATGCCATGGGTAATGGTGTTACCTATTCTTTCATTCAACAGTAATTGAATACTTACATTAGTCTGTGATTATTAATATGACGTTTCAACTTGACTGGACCACAGAGTGTCCACATATTCAGCTAAACATTATTTCTGGATGTTCCGTGAGGATGTTTCAGGTGAGAATAGCATTTGAATCAGACTGAGTAAAGTAGTTTGCCCTCCCAGTGTGGTTGGGAATAATTCAATCCTCGAGGGTCTGAATAGAACAAAAAAAGTAGAGGAAGAGAGAATTTGTTCTCTCTGCCTGACTGCTTGAGCTGGGACACTGGACTTCTCTTGCTCTTGGAATGGGACTTAGGCCATCAGCAATCTTGTTGTCAGGCCTTCGGAATTGGGCTGAAATCACACCCTTGGCTTTCCTGAGCCACCATCTTTATAGACAGCCAATCTTGGGATCTCAGCCTCCATAAACATGTAAATTAATTCCTTATAATAAATTGTGTACACTTTAATTTATATAATATAATTTATTATAAGGAATTATACACACACACATCCTATTGGTTCTGTTTCTCTGGAGAACTCTGACTACAGAAGTTAGTACCAAGAAATAGAGTGCTGCTATAACAAATACTGAAAATATAGTAGAGGCTTCGGAACTAGGTAAGGGGTAGAGGCTGGGAGAGTTTTTTTGAGACGCATGCTAGAAAAACCAATATTGCTATGAAGGAGTTGTTAAATGTGATTCTGGTGAGGACTCAAAGAAAAGAGGAGAAAGATTTTGTTTTCTTAGAGAATACATTAATATTGTACAGAATGTTGGTAGAAATATGGACATCAGGTACAATTCTGATGAGGTCTGTGGTGAAAAGAAGGAACATTTGACTGGATAATGGAGAAAAGGCAATTCTCATTATAAAGTGGCAAAGAACTTCACTGAATTATATTTGTGTTTTAGTGTTTTGTGGAAGATATAACTTGGAGTGATTAAATTGGATATTTAGGTGAGGAGATTTCCAAGCAAAGTGTTGAAGGAGTGGCTTGGTTCTTCCTAAATGCTTATAGTAAAATACAAGAGAAAAACTTAAGGCTGCAAATATGTACTATTCCTTAAAAAAGAGAAGAATGATGTGAAGGCTACTCAGAGGTAATCTGGGCTGCCACTCCCATCACCGGCCCAGTGGTAGGGCTCGCCTCTTCAGATTCAAAAGGCCAGCATGTCCCTGCCCAGTGCCTCCTCTTTACCTAAGCCGAAAGTGGCGTATTCCACTTCATTTACTGCCAGAACTAGTCATGTAGCCCGAAAAAACCTGAAAAGAATCACAAGGATCTTTGAAAAGTCCTACAGGCCTCTCTCAGAGCTATTATATGCAAGAAAATGAGATAAGTGCTCAGAGATGTTTAGTGTACACACTGACACTGTTTGGATTTCTGACCATGCTAGCACTCATCTCTAAGATCCTTTCCTCTCATTCATCCATTCATTGACTCATTTATTCTCCAAGTCACTCACTTGTTTAGTATACATTTACTGAATATGTACCTGCCAAGATTTGTGCAGGATGATGGCATAAAATAGGATTAAAATTGATCTTTTTCCTCAAGAAATTCATAGTCTAACATACAAATAAATGTATAAACATTACCATATTCATAATTCAATGTAAGATCAACTATGATATAAATTAATATTAAGTGTGATAGAAATACATTTATTCACTTCCCATTCAGCTAATACTCTACCTTAGTGTGTGCCACACCCCATGTTAAGAAGATAAACAAAATAATTCTCACTCGACACAGCAGGGAAGGTATTTAAAAAGATAATACTTGGGTTGGTCACTGAAGCCTGAGTATGTATTCTCCTTGAACGTGAAAAATCTTTATTTAGCTCTTCAAGTGATAAAATGTACCCAACCACTCCTTACTGCAGAATCTAGTAGGTAAGAGTGCAGGCCAGTGGGGTGACTGGTTGTAAATATTAATTCTTGTATTTATTAGCCATTTATTAGCTATTGACTTAACTTCCATAAGCTTCAGATTTTCTCACTTGTAAAATAGTAACAACAATAAAATCTACTATCCAGACCTGTTCTGAAGCTAAAAGAAAAAAATACATATATAAAGCCTTAGCAATAAATAATAAGTGTGAGTTAGCATCACTGTGATTAGTATTCTCCCAGAAGAGGAAGGGCTCTACTAAGACAATAGTGTCTGTAATTAATATTGCAAGCTGGATCACTTTCCAAATAGATCCCACCGTGTCTCTGAACTCTATCTTAGCAGTAGTTGAAACAGATAAGCAAGATTTCCCACTAGCCTGTGAGTGTCAGAATTTACAATTTTTATTCTGTTACAGTGCCATGAGATTCCTGTAGTGCAAACTGCAGGGCCTTGTGAGTGCATGGTGATTGGTGAAGTATCAGACTCTGGATCAGGAAATGAAAAATCCTCTGCGTAGAACAACTTCTTGCCAACCCCCTACCTGTGATTCTTTCTCTTCCTCATCTAGGTCTTAGCTTTTGAATCAGTAGACTGAGTTAAGCAGATTGTCCTCCCAATGTGGTTGGGAATAATTCAATCCTTGAGGGTCTGGATAGAACAAAAAAGTGGAGGAAGGGAGAATTTGTTCTCTCTGCCTGACTGCTTGAGCTGGGACATTGGACTTCTCCTGCTCTTGGACTGGGACTTAGTTATTGCCTCCTCTAGGGAGCCTTGCTTTTCTTACCACCCCACCAAGCCCTTCATATGTTTCCTTCTGACTACCTGGGCCTCCCTACAGAAACTCTTAAGAATATATACAGAGGGAAACCCAGGGGGGATATGTATATATGTATGTATGTATGTGTATGTGAATATATGTGCGTATGTACATACACACACATATATGATATATATCCATATATATATAAAAATGTACATAGGATATGTATATATGGATGTATAAAAGGATATATACATACACATATAAGTACACATATTTTTATATATGTGTGTTATCTTTATATCCTTATATGTGTGTGTGTGTGTGTGTGTGTATATATAAGGATATAATAACACACATATATAAAAATATGTGTATATATACATATATATCCTTATATACATCTTTATATATACACATATATATTTTCATATATGTGTGTGGGTTATATATAAGTAACACTATAGATAAAATACTGACTTGTCTGCTCCTCCCACTGGACTCTGAGCTCTGTCATAAAAGGGACACTAGTTCTAAGTCCATCACTATGCTCGCAGTACTTAGAAGAGGGCCTGGTGTAGAGTAGGTGCTCAATATATTTTGAGGTCAGAAAACACAGTTACATTAGGAATGGGAGACTATGAAATAGTTAAGAAGCTTATTATCAGATCTTAAATGAGTCTAGAGCCTCAATAAAATGAGGAGCTCTTAGATGCGGCTCATGATAGTTGAAGTAGAGAACATATGTCATAGGAATCAGGAGGCAAAGAGATTTCATGGCTGAGCATCATAAATATCAAAGTTGAAGTTACTGAGTCATGGTTATATGATTTCTCCTACAAATGTGGCAGCTCAGTCATATTTATGGGTTTGATAATTTTTTAAGCCTTTGAAGAAAATCCTGGTAAGAAAAACTCACCTAACTTCTTGGCCCTGCATTCAAAGATTTGACACACACTATACACATACATATACATATACATATACGTATACGTATACATATACATGGAAGGTGTCAAGACCAGAATTGTACTCTTTGAGACAGAGGTGTCAGTCTAAAAAACCAATTTGAATTGAATGTCAAAGTTCACTTAAGTAGACCTTGGGCTACAATTTATAGAAAATATGCTCCTGCATCTGTAATTCTGCAGTTCAGTTGGGTGTAGAGGACCATCCAAACCAGTTTCTCAGGAGATGCTAATCATGAATTGTAATAGCATTACTGTATTCAGCACATAGACAGCTCCACCCCATTATAAAAGTGAAGTTCACCTCCCTCCCCGTCCCTCTAGCAACTTCCATCTTTTCAGTCTCTCAATTCCCCTACCTGAACTTCTCTCATACAATTCCCAGGCCTATCATCATTCCACACACAGGGAAACACCATAAACCATTGACCATTTTTCTAGAGTCACTTTAAATCAAAGTAATAATTTTTAGCGTATATTCCTCTGACCTCTAGCAATGAAAAATCATGTTAGCTGCGAAAAACCACATAACAGGATTTGAAACAATATATGAATAACTTCCTATGGAAAGAAACTGATTCTTTGACTTTTTTTTTTAACATAATAGCAATAGAAAATAAAAACTCAAAGTGAAAAATATCTAATAGAAAGTTGGAAGGTCCCTTTAAATATAAGAGAAGGCTTTGGCATATTTGGGATTAACATGACAATAATTTTTTTTTTCAAAATTTGGTCCAAGGGTCATAGTAGTCTAAAAATTTTTTTTCTGATATCCCAGATTGCTGGATATTTCTGACATACAAGACTCAATTAGGAAAAGACAAAAGGATCAAAGAAGAGAAAGCAGAATAACACTGACATTGAGAATGACTCTAGATGGGAGATCACCTAAGGATGAAAGCTTTTCTGGCAAACAATATGCAAGTATATTTATACTCTTGCTGCTCATTCCTTTTATTTAAAAACCATTGCAGGAATAAGGTGACATAAATTGTAGACTCCATTAACAATTGTTCTAGGGAACAATTAATACATGTGCCTACTCATATTACACTGAGCAACCAGGTCTACCAGCCATAGTTTTTGAATTCTGACAGCACCAGTTTTAGATATCTGTTCCATAGTGTGTAGGTAGTGTGAAAATACACAACCTATTTTCTTAAATAAATGTTCTGAATGTTTCCATATCATGGAGGTGGTGAGCCAACATAACCAACACTGATATGCAGTTTTTATTCTGAAAAAATGAAAATGAAATTAGTCAAGAGCTGTCAGGAAGAACAAAGAGGTTTCTTGTGGAATTTGTGTGTTAAATACAGCAATGGTTATAACTTTGTTCCTCGTATGAGGTAATGTTTTCCCAGGGATATTTAGTAATATTTAGCCATCAATCAATTGGCATTGCATCAAAAAAAAACACCTGCACTCCCACTAGATTAGCGGTGTGGTTTCCTAATCACATTGACAAAGAGCTAACAAAGCATGTGATATGTGGTGGAAGAGAAAACAGAAAGCTCTGCTTTACATCATACTGTTTAGGTGTGAGGATGGACCCTAATCTGCTTACACTGCATTGAAGCTGAAAGTGCAAAATAAATTCATTATCCTGGACTGGGAGACAGTAGACAAATACATCTCTTGAGAGGACAAATAACTTTACACAGAAAAGGGGATATCATATCATTTAATGAGGCAATAAGAACAACTTTTCAGGAAGACGGCCGGGCAGTGTGAGTTCTCTCATAGACACAGCGGAAGAGGTTTTTTGGTTTTGTTTTGTTTTTTTTGTTGTTGTTGTTGTTTTTTTTTGAGGAGAATGACAGCTTACTTAACAACAGACGTTTCTGTGATTGGAGAGGGAAGAAATGAACTGCTTTGCCGCTATTGCCTGTGATGGGTACAGGAATCCCAAAGCTTTGGGAGATCAGAAGAGATGTCCAATTCCTGCAGGAGATGCTTCACAGACCCCTTAAATCATTGATCATCTTCCCTTTTCATTATGCGATTTGTATCTAAGTCCCTTTACAGTAATTTCAGTGTCTGTTTAATCTTTGAGGTCCCCACAGAACCTATTACAATGTTTTACATATTGTAAGACACACAGTAAGAATTTGTGTATTGTAAGTATTGACCTAATATATCTGCACTTTTAATGTATTCAGTTAAAATATAAATTGTATTTTAAGAATACAGTAAATAAAAGAAATGCTCCTATCAAGGCATTTCTCTATCCTATGTCTATAAGTTTATTCAGATTCAAGTGTGGGAATTTACATTCATCATTAGTTCATCCATTCATTCATGTATAATGGGTACATAGTAATTATCTACTATATGCAAAGATCTCTAAGCCCTATGATGCAATTTAAAAAAATGTTAAAGTGTCTGGGCGCAGTAGCTCATGCCTGTAATCCCAGCACTTAGGGAGGCCAAAGCAGGGGGATCACTTGACCTCAGGCATTCAAGACCAGCCTGGGCAACATGGCAAAACCCCATCTCTACTAAAAGTACAAAAATTAGCCAGGTGTGGTGATGCGTGCCTGTAGTCCCAGCTACTTGGGAGGCTGAGGCAGGAGAAATCGCTTGAGTCCGGGAGGTGGAGATTGCAGTGAGCCGAGATTGCACCACTGCACTCCAGCCTGGGCAACAGAGCGAGACTCTGCCTCAAAAAAAAAAAAAAAAAGAAATGTTAAAGTGAATATCTTCATTAAGAATTTATAATTGAAAATATTTTCCATATTAGTGGAAAATCTCTATTTCAAAATTGATAACTTAATTGAATCTAAACCCAGTTGAATAAGTATTTAATTTGTGCCCACTACATTACATTTTGTTGCCTGCTCTGAATTTTGCCTTCTACTCTAGCATATTCATTAATGGGATTAGAAGGAATAACTTTTTGAGATGGGTGAAATAAGTCCGACCCAAACAGCTTTGAAATAAAACATGGGCCAGTAACAGTTACTTACAACTGTCTTTAGCCAACATGTCCCTGGCTGAAAGGTTCCTTACCATGGCGATGTTTTGGTCCAACAGGACAAATGACCTGTGAGATGTGATGAAGGAGAGAGAGATGAACAAAAAAGAGGTAATGCACAGCCATGGATTTCCCGAAGCCCCTCTCCTTGAGGGCTCTTCTTGTGCTCTGGGGAGATGCGCCACTAAAAGAAAAGGCTAACTGTTCAAGGTGAAAAAACACCACTCCCTAAAAGGAGCAAGACTTGGCTGCATGCAGGTAACACTATGAACTAGATAAGAACATGCTTAAACTCTTCAGAGTAAAAGCATCTATTCAAGGGAAAAGAATGCGGAAGGTCGTGTATGCCCATGACCAGAAATTTAAAGTGTTATGTGGAGCAAGGGGACCTATGCAGAGCTATGTTATGAGCTGAATGTAAAGAATGCAGCTTACAAGTGGCTTAAATTCTTGAGGGACCGGAATGGTTTTGTTCTGGGCAGCCTGATCAATGGGAGCTTGTCTTTGAGCTATTCGCTCAGCAAGTGACTCAGCACTTGTGACGCCCGCTGTGAGACAGGCTATTGGCTGGGGAAGAGAAGATCTTTTCAAGTACATCAGAACGGCTCTGTCTCAGATAACCTTCCCCTGACTTTGTGACTGAGCTTCCAGAAACATGTCAGGGAGTTTCTAGGAAGGAGGCCAGAAATCATGCAGTTAGCAAGGGAGATCCAGCTGTGCCCACCTCAGCCTGAGAGTTTTATTCACTTCTTCTGCAGGGATCATTTTCAGCCGTTCAAAAAGTTTCCTACTGTTTCACCTCGATGGGGACTTTACTTGCTTTTCTGTGCAGGTTCTCTATTAGTTAACATGTTCCTCTACCCCATTTAACTTTTGAAGTGTGGGGCCTCTGAATGAGAAAATGGATTGCGTCTTCCAATATCAAAATGGAGTCCTACTCATGATAAGTAGTTTAACACTTTTCTGAGAGTATTGAGTTGCTTTAGGAAGACCAAGTGATTGGGTTTCAAGAGGTATGGCTTAAATCCCTACTCTGCCAATTATTACTTGTGAGATTTGGGAGGAGGTCACTTTTAAACCTCGCATTCCTCATGTGTAAAATAGGGATAATAATATCTAGCCTATTCATAGTTATTTTGATAACCCCAATGAGATGAACCGTACGAAAAGTGCCACGAAGACGGTAAAGCCCATAGACAAATAGAAATTCTTATTATAACTTTTCTTCTGCATGTATCTACTATCTTTATGTAACTCTTAACCACATTCTACTTTGTATTACAGTGACTTTTAAGTATTTTTCTTTCCCCTCAGAGATACCAAGTTAAAGGAATTCACATCATTATATCTCCCAGAGGACAAAGCCTAGAACTTTCTACATTCAAGTCAGTGAATATTGGGGAGTGGGGAATCCATGAATTCATTATGTGGTAAGTGAAACTCTGTGGCACACAGTTTGTGGTTCTGTCAATTGTTTTCATTGCTTAGATTTAGAAAAAAAAAACAAAACATTTTGAGGGAAAATATCTTCTTTCCTCCTAAAGTAGTAATTTCAGGTGGTATTCCAGAAACTCCCAGACATAAAATGGCCTCAGGAATGTCATATTTCACAGCAATTGCCATACAGAAAAACTCCTCTGCTAAAAACAGCAGTCTGTTTACCCTTTTAAAATTTCACCCACCCTTTCTGCCTCCCTTGTTTATTTTTCCCTAAACCCTAAGGATAGTGATTACTTTCTATAGCTGCTACCCCAACTAAACCACAGAAATCTCTATATTCCTTTTTGAACTCAACTGTTTACCTAGTTGAGAACTCTTTATATTAAATTTCCTTCTTCAAATTACTAGTATGGGTTCTACCACCTGACTGGATTCCACACAGCAGAGCAGGTACTGAGAGGTGCCCCAGTCCTCCCTCTGGAACTATTATCCCAAGAACGCTTCTTCCTAGAAAATGGGATAAAATATCTACATCATATACACATGTCTGGAAAACTCAAGATGCTTTTGGCAAGAGGTCATAACATCTGGCAATATCCCGAAAGAGCTTTTTGAGCAATTAAGAATGTCATCGGAGTCCAGCCCTTACTTTAAATTTCCACAATTTGGGCTTTATAACTACAGTTTGCTTCTTCAAGTATGTTCTTCATTAAACAGAAACACACATTTATGCTCACACGTGTGCCACGTGCATATGAAGCATACATGTTGTATCCATATTTGAAATGTGCAACTTATTCTTTTTTTATAATTTTTCTAATGAAATATGTAAATCTTCATTAAATTTCAGATAAGACTAAGCATATCTTTCCTCACAAAGCAGTGGTTCACCTAGAAGAAACTGGCAGCTCACAAGGGAATCATCCCAGGACAAAGCTGAGGAAATAAACTTTTTATTTTTTTTTATGTTTTTTTTTTTTTATAGTAGAGTGATTCTGGTAGAGAAATATTAGGATTGACCCATTTAATTTATCAAATCATTGTCTTATTATTATCATCATTATTTTTGAGATGGAGTTTCCCTCTTGTTTCCCAGGCTGGAGTGCAATGGCGCAATCTCAGCTCACCACAATCTCTGCCTCCTGGGTTCAAGCGATTCTCCTGCCTCAGCCTCCCGAGTAGCTGGGATTACAGGTATGCGCCACCACGACCGGCTAATTTTGTATTTTTAGTAGAGACAGGGTTTCTTTATGTTGGTCAGGCTGGTCTCGAACTTTCGACCTCAGGTGATCCACCCGCCTTGGCCTCCCAAAGTACTGGGATTACAGGCATGAGCCACCATGCCCAGCCCCACTGTCTCATGAAATTGTTTGTATTTCCCTTTTTGCATAAAGTTTTGTTTTTATTATTGTTATATAAGCTATAAAATGCTAGCCTGATTGATTCTTGCACAAAACTGTGAAGCAGGCAAGGATGACCTTTTCTGCTCATTTTACAAGATAGTGCATACTGGAAAGTTTAAAGGGTTTAGCTGAGATCACACAAATAATAAGAGGCAGAGTTAGAAGCAAAACAGATACTTTCTGTCTCTTTTCCATTCTCCTATGCTGCCTCTTCATGTTTCATTTTTTACATAATAAATCAATATTGTATTTTAAGGACTGGATATTATTAACACATTCTACATACCAGACATTAAGTCGAGTGCTTTTGTATGGATTAAAACCATCTTTTAAAACATCTACTAGGAGATAGCATAATGATTATCCTTATTTTATGGATGAGGCTTAAAGAAAATAGAAAAATTGATCAAGATTTCACAGTTGTTGAGCGCCAGAAGTGAGATCCAAATCCAGACAATCTTAATTTAGCACCAAAATGTTGATGTCCTGCACTATCACACTTCCCTTACTACATAGATATTTGCTGTAAAGAAATGGTGCTGTAAAGAAATGAACAAAAGGAGAAGAGGTCACAGAAGTTTATAATCTAAGTTTTAAGAAATTTGCTGTTCCTTAAGACATAAATAATACAAAGTAAATAAAGTAAATATACAATATAGATATCAATCAAAATGAAAACTGATTTTTGGGAAAAATCATGCAATTCCGTTATTAAGAAATGAAAAATCTAAACTACATGTAAGAGAAATACTAAGTAAACATAAAATTTTAGTCATATAGGTTACAGTTTTGTCTTAAAACACTGCTATTAATCCATTTATTTTTAATTAATCAGTTTAGACACAGCAAAATAAAGGAAAATTCAGGCCAATATTCTTGACGAACATAGATGCAAAAATCCTTCGTAACATACTAGCAAACTGAATCCAGCAGCACATCAAAAAGCTCATCCACCACAACCAAACAGGATTTCTCCCTGGGATGCAAGGTTGATTCAATATATGCAAATCAACAAATGTGACTCATTACTTAAACAGAACTAAAAACAAAAGCCACATGATCACCTCAATGAGTACAGAAAAGACTTGATAAAATTCAACATCACTTCATGTTGAAAACTCTCAGCAAACTAGGCATTGTAGAGACATACTTCAAGATAATAAGAGCCATCTATGAAAAACCCGTGTCCAACATCATACTGAATGGGCAAAAGCTGGAAGCATTCCCCTTGAAAACCAGCATGAGATAAGGATGCAGTATCTCACCAATCCTATTCAACAGAGTTCTGGAAGTCCTAGCTAGAGCAATCAGACAAGAGAAACGTATAAAGGGCATCCACTTTGGAAAGGAAGAAGTCAAATTATCCTTGTTTGCAGATGACACGATCTTACATATGGAAAAACTTAGACTCCCCCAGAAAACTATTAGAACTGAGAAACAAATTCAGTAAAGTTGCAGATATAAAATCAACATACGAAAATCAGCAGCATTTCTATATGCCAACAGTTAACAATGTGAAAAACAACTCAAAAACATAATCTCATTTATAATAGCTATAAATAAAACTAAATGTCTAGGAATTAACATAGCCAAGGAAGTAAAAGGTCTATACACTGAAAACATGAAGCACTGATGAAAGAAATTGAGGGGGATACCAAAAAATGGAAAGATATTCCATGTTCATGGATTGGAAGAATCAATGTTGTTAAAATGTCCATACTACCCAAAGCAATCTACAGATGCAATGCATTCCCTATCAAAATACCCATGACATTCTTCACAGAAATAGAAAAAACAATCTTGAAATTTATATGAAACCACAAAAAAATGAGGATCGCCAAAACTATCCGGAGGGAAAAAAGAACAAAACTGGAAGAATCACATTACCTGACTTCAAATTATACTACAGAGCTATACTAACCAAAGCATGGTACTGGCATAAGAACAGACATACAGACCAAAGGAACAGAATAGAGAACCCAGAAACAAATCTATATACCTACAATGTAATGCAGAACTCATTTTCAACAGAAGTGCCAGCAACATACATTGGAGAAATGATGGCTTCTTCAACAAATGATCCTGGGAAAACTGGATATCCAAATTCAGAGGAATGAAACTTGATGGCTATCTCTCACTATATACAAAAGTCAAATCAAAATGGATTAAAGACTTAAATCTAAGACCTCAGACTACGAAACTACTACAAGAAAAAGTCAGGGATACCTTCCAGAATGTTGGTCTGGGCAAAAATGTCTTGAGTAATATCCCACAAGCACAAGCAACCAAAGCAAAAATGGACAAGTGGGATCATATCAAGTTAAAAAGCTTGTGCACAGTGAAGGAAACAATCAACAAAGTGAAGAGACAACCCACAGAATGGAAGAAAATATTTGCAAATTACCCATCTGACAACAGATTAATAATGAGAATATATAAAGAGCTCCAACAACTTTACAGGAAAAAATCTAATAATCCAAATTAAACATGGGCAAAAGATTTGAATAGACATTTCTCAAAAGAAGACACACGAATGGCAAACAGGGATATAAAAAGGTGCTTGGCATCACTGATGATTATCAGAGAAAAGCAAATAAAAACTACAAAGACACACAATCTCAGCCCAACTAAAACGGTTTTTATTCAAAAGACAGGCAATAAATGCTAGCGAGGTTATGGAGAAAACAGAACCCTTGCACACTGTTGGTGAGAATGTAAATTAGTACAACCACTATACAGAACAGATTAGGGCTTCCTCAAAAAACTAAAAATAGGGCTACCAATATGATTCAGCAATCCCACTGCTAGGTATATAACCAAAAGAAAGGAAATTGGTATATCAAAGAGATATCTGCACCCCCAAGTTTGTTGCAGCACTGTTCAGAATAGCCAAAATTTGCAAGCAATCTCAATGTCCACCAACAGATGACTGGATAAAGAAAATGTGGTACATATACACAATGGAGTACTATTCAGCCATAAAGAATGAGATCCAGTCATTTGCAATAATATGGATGGAACTGGAGATCATTATGTTAAGTGAAATAAGTCAAGCACAGAAAGACAAACTTCACATGTTCTCACTTATTTGTGGTTGCTAAAACTCAAAACAATTGAACTCATGCAGATAGACAGTAGAAGGATGGTTACCAGAGGCTGGGAAGGGTAGCTGGGGGAAGAGGGAGGAGTGGAGATAGTTAATCAGTACCAAAAAATATATGGTTAGAAAGAATGAATAAGATCTAGTATTTGATAGCACAACAGGGTGACTACAGTCAGTAATAATTTAATCATCCATCTTAAAATAACTAAAAGAGTATAATTGTATTGTTTGTAACACAAAGGATAAATGCTTGAGGGGATGGATACCCCATTTTCCACAATGCTATTATTACTTATTGCTTATCTCTATCAAAGTATCTCATGTACCCTAAAAATATATATACCTAATATGTACCCACAAAAATTATTTTAAACAATTTTTTTTAAAAAATCCAAATTTACAAAAAGGTTAAAAAAACCCAGAAATTATAAATATGAAATACTTCTTTCTCTTGATTATTTTGAAAGAAAATTGATTCCTTAAAGCAAAAAAAAAGAAACATTTTAATTGGAGAGTTACAATGTACTTAAAAGCAAATACATGATAACATTAACTAAAGGATGAAATTAACTTTCAATCCTAAAGTTAAATTATATATAACTTTCTCATGTTTATTTGAAGTATTACAACAGTATCTCTAAGTAGAAAGGAATAAGTTAAGCATGCATATTTTAAACCCTAGTGTAATCACTAAATAAACAAATGCAAGAAGTTTTAGCTAAAAAGTCAACAGAGGAGATAGGATGGGATACTAAAATACCTATTTCGTTAGGCCCTAAAAGTCTCCCTAAAAATGAAAGGAAGAACAGAACAACAAAAACATGAGAAAAATATAAAAAAAATAGCAAGCTGTTAGACTTAAACACAACCATGTCAATAATCATATAAAATGAAAATGAAGCACACTTCAGTTAAAAGGTAGAGATTGTTAGATTGGATTTAAAAAATGAGACTCAACATAGGCTCTCTACAACTGCTTAGTTTCATACATAAAGATACAGATAGCTTGAACGTAGCAGGATGAAGGAAGGTTATAACATGCAAACAATAAGTATAAGAATGATAGTGTAGCTACAGTACTTAGTATTGCAATAAAGAAGAGGGAAACATAATGATAATGGAGTCAATCAAGAAAACAACAATCTTAATTGTTCATGTACCTAATAAAAGAGCTTCAAAAGAAATAATGTAAAAACAAACACAACTAAAGGAATAATTAGATAAACCCACAATTATATTTAGACATTTTCACCCCCCACTTATTGATTTATAGGACACCCATTAATGATTTATAGGACAAGTTGACAAAAAAATCAGTAAAGATATAGAAGTTGTTAACAATACTATCAATCTCCTTTATCTAATTGATGTGTATAGAATATCACACTTAACAGAGAAGAATAGTCTTCTCAAGAATATATGTAACATTTACCAAGATAAAAAATGCTGCCCCATTAAAATATAATGTTCAATAAATTTCAAATAATTGAAATCTTGAAAATCAAATCAGAAATCAATATAAATTAGATTCCTACTGAATCCCCAAAGATTTGGAAATCAAACAATACATTTCTAGCTAACCCATAAGCCAAAAAAGAAATCACAAGACAAATTAGAAAATATTTCAAACTAAAAGGCAGTGAAAATACAATACATAAAAATGTGTGTTATGCAGCCAACGGTTAGAGGGAAATTTACAGCTTTTAAATGTTTATATTAGAAAATAAGAAAGGTTTTTAAGTAATGATCTAAGTTCCCACATTTAGAAGCTAGATAAAGCAGAGCACATTAAGTAGAAAAAAGGAAATAGTAAAGATATTGATGAAATAGAAAACAAATGATAGAGAAAATCAATAAAACCAACCTATTCCAAAACTGACCACACAGTTGGAAGTAAAGCTCTCCTCAGCAAATGTAAAAGAACAGAAATTATAACAAACTGTCTCTCAGACCACAGTGCAATCAAACTAGAACTCAGGATTAAGAAATTCACTCAAAACCGCTCAACTACATGGAAACTGAACAACCTGCTCCTGAATGACTACTGGGTACATAACAAAATGAAGGCAGAAATAAAGATGTTCTTTGAAACCAACGAGAACAAAGACACAACATACCAGAATCTCTGGGACACATTCAAAGCAGTGTGTAGCGGGAAATTTATAGCACTAAATGCCCACAAGAGAAAGCAGGAAAGATCCAAAATTGACACCCTAACATCACAATTAAAAGAACTAGAAAAGCAAGAGCAAACACATTCAAAAGCTAGCAGAAGGCAAGAAATAACTAAAATCAGAGCAGAACTGAGGGAAATACAGACACAAAAAACCCTTCAAAAATTAATGAATCCAGGAGCTGGTTTTTTGAAAGGATCAACAAAATTGATAGACTGCTAGCAAGACTAATAAAGAAAAAAAGAGACAAGAATCAAATAGACGCAACAAAAAATGATAAAGGGGATGTCACCACCGATCCCACAGAAATACAAACTACCATCAGAGAATACTACAAACACCTCTACGCAAATAAACTAGAAAATCTAGAAGAAATGGATAAATTCCTAGACACATACACCCTCCCAAGACTAAACCAGGAAGAAGTTGAATCTCTGAATAGACCAATAACAGGATCTGAAATTGTGGCAATAATCAATAGCTTACCAACCAAAAGAGTCCAGGACCAGATGGATTCACAGCCGAATTCTACCAGAGGTACAAAGAGGAATTGGTACCATTCCTTCAGAAACCATTCCAATCGACAGAAAAAGAGGGAATCCTCCCTAACTCATTTTATGAGGCCAGCATCATCCTGATACCAAAGCCAGGCAGAGACACAACCAAAAAAGAATTTTAGACCAATATCCTTGATGAACATTGATGCAAAAATCCTCAATAAAATACTGGCAAACCCAATCCAGCAGCACATCAAAAAGCTTATCCACCATGAACAAGTGGGCTTCATCCCTGGGATGCAAGGCTGGTTCAATATACGCAAATCAATAAATCTAATCCAGCATATAAACAGAACCAAAAGACAAAAACCATATGATTATCTCAATAGATGCAGAAAAGGTCTTTGACAAAATTCAACAACCCTTCATGCTAAAAACTCTCGATAAATTAGGTATTGATGGGACGTATCTCAAAATAATAAGAGCTATCTATGACAAACCCACAGCCAATATCATACTGAATGGGCAAAAACTGGAAGCATTCCCTTTGAAAACTGGCACACGACAAGGATGCCCTCTCTCACCACTCCTATTCAACATAGTGTTGGAAATTCTGGCCAGGGCAATCCGGCAGGAGAAGGAAATAAAGGGTATTCAATTGGGAAAAGAGGAAGTCAAATTGTCCCTGTTTGCAGACGACATGATTGTATATCTAGAAAACCCCATTGTCTCAGCCCAAAATCTCCTTAAGCTGATAAGCAACTTCAGAAAAGTCTCAGGATACAAAATCAATGTGCAAAAATCACAAGCATTCTTATGCAACAATAACAGACAAACAGAGAGCCAAATCATGAGTGAACTCCCATTCACAATTGCTTCAAAGAGAATAAAATACTTAGGAATCCAACTTACAAGGGACATGAAGGACCTCTTCAAGGAGAACTACAAACCACTGCTCAAGGAAATAAAAGAGGATACAAACAAATGGAAGAACATTCCATGCTCATGAGGAAGAATCAATATCGTGAAAATGGCCATACTGCCCAAGGTAATTTATACATTCAATGCCATCCCCATCAAGCTACCAATGACTTTCTTCACAGATTTGGAAAAACTACTTTAAAGTTCATATGGAACCAAAAAAGAGCTCGCATCGCCAAGTCAATCCTAAGCCAAAAGAACAAAGCTGGAGGCATCACGCTGCCTGACTTCAAACTATACTACAAGGCTACAGTAACCAAAACAGCATGGTACTGGTACCAAAACAGAGATATAGATCAATGGAACAGAACAGAGCCCTCAGAAATAATGCCGCATATCTACAACTATCTGATCTTTGACAAACCTGAGAAAAACAAGCAATGGGGAAAGGATTCCCTATTTAATAAATGGTGCTGGGAAAACTGGCTAGCCATATGTAGAAAGCTGAAACTGGATCCCTTCTTTACACCTTATACAAAAATTAATTCAAGATGGATTAAAGACTTAAACGTTAGACCTCGAACCATAAATACCCTAGAAGAAAACCTAGACATTACCATTCAGGACATAGGCATGGGCAAGGACTTCATGTCTAAAACACCAAAAGCAATGGCAACAAAAGCCAAAATTGACAAATGGGATCTAATTAAACTAAAGAGCTTCTGCACAGCAAAAGAAACTACCATCAGAGTGAACAGGCAACCTACAAAATGGGAGAAAATTTTCGCAACCTGCTCATCTGACAAAGGTCTACTATCCAGAATCGACAATGAACTCAAACAAATTTACAAGAAAAAAACAAACAACCCCATCAAAAAGTGGGCGAAGGATATGAACAGACACTTCTCAAAAGAAGACATTTATGCAGCCAAAAGACACATGAAAAAATGCTCATCATCACTGGCCGTCAGAGAAGTGCAAATCAAAACCACAATGAGATACCATCTCACACCAGTTAGAATGGCAATCATTAAAAAGTCAGGAAACAACAGGTGCTGGAGAGGATGTGGAGAAATAGGAACACTTTTACACTGTTGGTGGGACTGTAAACTAGTTCAACCATTGTGGAAGTCAGTGTGGCGATTCCTCAGGGATCTAGAACTAGAAATACCATTTGACCCAGCCATCCCATTACCGGGTATATACCCAAAGGACTATAAATCATGCTGCTATAAAGACACATGCACACGTATGTTTATTGTGGCACTATTCACAATAGCAGAGACTTAGAACCAACCCAAATGTCTAACAATGATAGACTGGATTAAGAAAATGTGGCACATATACACCATGGAATACTATGCAGTCATAAAAAATGATGAGTTCATGTCCTTTGTAGAGACATGGATGAAATTGGAAATCATCATTCTCAGTAAACTATCGCAAGGACAAAAAACCAAACACCACACGTTCTGACTCATAGATGGGAATTGAACAATGAGAACACATGGACACAGGAAGGGGAACATCACACTCTGGGGACTGTTGTGGGGTGTGGGGAGTGGGGAGGGATAGCATTAGGAGATATACCTAATGCTAAATGACAAGTTAATGGGTGCAGCACACCAGCATGGCACATGTATACATATGTAACTAACCTGCACATTGTGCACATGTACCCTAAAACTTAAAATATAATAATAATAATAATACTAAAACCAACAGTTGGTTCTTCAATGCTATTAATCAAATTGACAAACATCTAGCAAGACTGATCAAGGTGAAAGAAAAAAGCATGCCTTTCCAATATCAGAAATGAAAGAGAATGTATCACTGCAGATCCTGCACATAATAAAAAGTATAATAAATAGATGTTATAAACAACCCTGTGGAATAAGTTGGATGACTTAGATGAAACCGATAAGTTCCTTGAAAACAACTTAACCAAGCAGACAAAAGAAGAAATAGAAAATCTGAATAGCTGTATACCTATTAAAAAAATTGAACTTGTCACCAAAATTTTTTTTACAATGAAGGTAATTATTAGAATTTAAATGGTAAGAGAACTCCACAAGGTTATTGCAGACAAGTTGAGTGGATGAATTTTGGAAACTGAGCAGGATTAAAATGAGTGGTCCCTGGCAAGGTGAGTGTATTGAGTATCTGTCATTTGCCCTTTCTTTCTCCAACTTGTTCTCTGCCCCATAAGATTTTATTCATCACTTTGGGAGGGCGAGGCGGGCAGATCATGAGGTCAGGAGTTCGAGACCAGCCTGGCCAACATGGTGAAACCCCATCTCTATTAAAAATACAAAAATTAGCTGGGCATGGTGGCAGGTGCCTGTAATCCCAGCTACTTGAGAGGCTGAGGCAGGAGAATTGTTTGAACCCGGGAGGTGGAGGTTGCAGTGAGTCGAGATTGCACCATTGAACTCCAGCCTGGGCAAAAAGGCGAGACTCCATCCCAAAAAATAATAAAATGTAATCATAGGTTATGTCAACAGCACTATTGCCCTCTTGCTTTTCATCAGTGTCAGACCATGGGAAGTAGTGACAGAAGTCTGAAGAGGAGAGTAAATTAGAGTATTTATTCCACTGGTTCCTTCCCTGCAGGGCCAAGCCTGGCTGGCTGATCCCTCGAATCTGAGAACACAATTCCTGTCAGCTGGCCCTCTCCACACAGTACTCTCTGCCTCAGGTCCTAGTAACCTTTGCCTTGCCTCACCCCTTGCGGCCTGGAGATAGTAGCAGTACTACCATTTGCTTAACCTTCTGAACTATTCTTTGTCATTTTTTGACATGCTACCCATACCTTTGTAAATAACTCCCTTTATCAAATTCTCTTTGTATTGCCTATTTTTACTATCCTGTACGTTTCTTGATAGAATCCTAATTGATAGAGTTGATAAGAGATTAAGGCTTAATCCAAAGCCATGAATAATTTCCAAAATAATATTTTGGGGTTGCTCTCATGAAGAAAAATAATAAACAATTATAATAATCCACTTTCAAATCACAGGAAGCAAATCAGAAGGGTGAGAGCAGGAGAAAGGCAGGCTTAGCGTATAAGACAGCATGTTGCAGAGGGAGAGTTCCCAAATGTGATCCTCTCAATATCCCTCCTGTTCCAATGCGAAAGGTGTTTGGGGTGCAAAAGACATTGGTATTTGTTGTACCCATAAATGATTAATGTTTCCTGCTGAACCAGCCTGGGCAACTTAGTGAGATCCTGTCTCTACAAGAAAAAATTAAAAATCAGCTGGGAATGGTGGCATGCACCTGCAGTCTCAGCTATTCAGGAGGCTGATGTGGGAGAATTGCTTGAGCCTAGGAATTCGAGGTTATGGAGAACTATGATGGTGCCACTGCATTTCAGCCCAGGTGACAGAGTGAGATCCTGTCTCAAAAAAAAAAAAAACAAAAAACTTAAAAACTGATGTTATAAAAATAAACTATTTATCATGCTACATAGGATTCCCTAGGTATTTTTGTTTTTTCTCATAGGTCTGGAGATCAATCTTGGATACTGCCAAGAGATAGGAAAAACCAAACTGTTTTTCCCACTCTCACACTCACGTTTCCAATATCAGAAAGCACACCTTTCAACATAGAACACTTCTAACAACAGGTGTCATACTAGGAGAGCAGGGAGTTTCCCCACACACCAAGCAACTCTCCAGCTGGACTCCAGCTGGGTGTCCTACAATTTAACTCAACTCCGATGCTATTTACCTGGCATTAGATTCCACAGGTGATATGGTTTGGCTGTGTCCCCACCCAAATCTCATCTTGAATGTAGTTCCCATAATCCCCAAGTGTCATGGGAGGCACTGGGTAGGAATGAGAAAATAGGAATAAATAGTTTACCCCCATGCTGCTGTTCTCATGATAGTGAGTGAGTTCTCCTGAGATCTGACTGTTTTATAAGGGGCTTTCTCCCCTTTTGCTCAGCACTTCTCCTTGCTGCCTCCATGTAAGGAAGGACATGTTTGCTTCCCCTTCTGCAATGACTGTAACCTTCCTGAGGCTTCCCCAGCCATGCTGAACTGTGAGTCAGTGAAACCTCTTTCACTTATAAATTACCCAGTCTCAGGTATGGCTTTATCAGCAGCATGAGAACAGACTCACAAGTCTCACAGTCCCACAAGTGGGCTCAGATTTGTGGGCTCAGTCCCACAAGTCTCACAAAACTGCTCCCACCTCAGAGGCCAACAGCCAGCCCCAGGTTGTGACCTGTGCTTCTGGCCAGCCAACTATAATTCAGGGTTCCCACGACCCACTCCTTGGGTTTTATAATTTGCTAGGGTGGCTCACCAGAACTCAAGGAAAAACATTTCTACTTTTATTATAAAGGATATTGCAAAGGATACAGATGAACAGTCAGATGGAAGAGATACACAGGGCAAGGTATGGGGGAAGGGGCATGGAGCTTCCATGCCTGCTCCAGGACACACCATTTGCCCAGCACCTCCTTGTGTTCAGCAACCTGGGAGTTTGCCAAACCCTGTAGTTCAGAGATTTCTGTGGCAGCTTCATTACGTAGGCATGATCAATTATTAATTCAACCTCCAGCCTCTCTCCCCTTCATGGAGGATGGTGGGTGGGGGTGAAACTTCTGGTCATGGCTTGGTCTTTCTGGTGACCAGCTCTCACCCCAAAGACCACCAAAAATTGCCTCACTGAAACAAGAGACACTCCTATCACCCAGGAAATTCCAAGGGATTAGGAGCTCTATGTCAGGAACCAGGGTCAAAGATCAAATATTAGAACCAAAGATGCACCTAGCACCCCTATCACTCAGGAAATTATAAGAGTTTTAAGAATACTGTGCCAGATAGTAGGGGCAGAGACCAAATATATATTTCTTATTATATCACAATATCACAGATACTAATTATATGTAGAAAACTTCATATTAACTCCAGAAGTTAGAAACGTAACAACAGTAAGATCTCAAGAAAAATGAAAGAGACAATAAAGACAAAACCAGAAATTAAGGAATGAGAAAATAGGAACAAGGAGAGTGGAAAAATAAATTCAGGACATGAATAATAAATACGAGTTTGCTCAAGAAAAAAATCAAATAATTACACAAAAGTAAAATTGTGAAAGACAGCATAATCAAAGACACAGAGGATATATAAGGAATTACTCTACTCACATAAATTGAAGATACGGGTGAAATAATTTTTAAAATTTAATTTATCGGCCGGGCGCGGTGGCTCACGCCTGTAATCCCAGCACTTTGGGAGGCCGAGGCGGGTGGATCATGAGGTCAGGAGATCGAGACCATCCTGGCTAACAAGGTGAAACCCCGTCTCTACTAAAAATACAAAAAATTAGCCGGGCGCGGTGGCGGGCGCCTGTAGTCCCAGCTACTCGGGAGGCTGAGGCAGGAGAATGGCGTGAACCCGGGAAGCGGAGCTTGCAGTGAGCCGAGATTGCGCCACTGCAGTCCGCAGTCCGGCCTGGGCGACAGAGCGAGACTCCGTCTCAAAAAAAAAAAAAAAAAAAAAAAAAAAAAAAAAAAAAAAATTTTAATTTATCAAGAAAGACTATAGAAGATGTAGAAAACCTGAATATACCACAATTCTCCGTTGATAAATTTCAGGAAGAGAACAGTGGAGAAGGTGGTAAGAAAAATATAATTATAAGCTATTAGTTAATCAGACAAAAGAAAGGCAATTAGAAACTCTAGGAGGAAGAAAAAAAGAAGCTGCACTTCAAGGTTACACAAGTAAAATGAACAAAAAGAGAATTTTTAAAAGTTGAGGCTTGTAACATTCTCATTTGTGTGGCATAGGTTTACAACATGGTATTACATTCCCAAATCTGCAGGTTTAATTAGCTCATTTTGAACAATAGTTTGAAATTAAAACATTACAACTTCTATTTATTGGCTTTCAATTTTCAAGATCCATGTAAGGGAAAGCACAGAACCCTTAGGTACAAAAAGGACTTTGAGAGAATAAAAGTGTTGCTAGATTGATGAATTTAGAGGGGTGTTAATTACTTCTTCCTACATATTGGGAATTAAAAGATAGTATCTAATATAAATAGCTTAAGAAATAAAAGTTAACAAAATATTGAATTACTTGATTAAATTAATAAATTAATTTTTAAAAAATTAACAATGGGAATGTGGGGAGGAAAAGGGCACATAAATGATTTAAATTCTTACTCTTCTGTAACTAGAATGGATATTAAAAATGAATAAATCAAGAAATAGAGATAAGTGCTTATTTTCTTAGAATGATGTGTCAATGATGTTTAAATGGAATAGCTTTCAGGGAGATGAACTAAAGAGGTACAGGGAGGTAAAAATGACCTAGCCCTTTTGCCCTCCAGTCCCTTCTGCCATCCCAGGATATATGGACAGCACCATCTGTGAGGGATGGGCCTTCACCAGACACCAAACCTGCTGGTACATAGATCTTGGACTTCCTAGCCTCCAGAATTGCAAGAAATAAATTTCTTTTATTTATAAATTCCTCAATCTCAGATACTCTATTATAGTAGCGAAATGGACTAAGACAATGGCAAAGATTTTAAAACTGCATATTAGTTGGCAAATATCAAATTGTTAATTAGCAATATAAAATTATATTGGAGAGCCTACAGAAAAATAAGAATTTTCATACACCAATAATATCAATGCAAATTTTTGGAGGACAGTTTTTGTCAAACTTTAAAAAACATGTGTGACCCAACAATTCCACAATTTTAGGAATGTATATAAAGATAAGTGTGCAAGGAAGTTCACTGTGGTATTGTTTGCAAGTTGAAAGAAACCAAAAAAAAAAGAAAAGAACAGCAGCAACAGGGTTAAAATAAACCTACGTTGTCTCCAATAGGGGACAGGTTTAATAAATTTCAGTACATTCACCCAATGGCATATTTCCTAGCATTAAAAATAATAAAGAAAATCACACTCCGGTAGTACAAACAGCCCATAAAACATTGGTAAATAAAAATGTTTCCAGGCAATTTTGTATAATATTAATCCATTTGTGTAAAAAAATTCTGGAATATTGTAAATATATAGAAAGTATATGGAGACAAAAAATGTTATTCAAATTACCAGTAAATCTAAATCTAGGGAAATTGGGGAGGAGACACTTTTACTTTTTACTTCATATAATTTTCTATCTTTATTTTTCCCAACAGCTGTTTATTACGTTTTATTAAAGTATTTTTTAAAAATCTCAGTGAAGAGCTGTGAAATGCCAAATTAAACAAATTATGTTGCCTATATATTGCTTGGCAGCACTGACCCTCCCCAGCATCTAGCACAATGACTGGCGCATAGCAAATATTCAAGCAATATTCTCTGATTAGATGATAAATGAATAAATGAAGGATTGAAACCTGAAGGATTCAGCCCTGTATCTATTTTTCTCTCATTCTAAAGCCATTTTACTGTTATTAAGTTTGAGAAAAGCCAATTCTCAAATAAAATGAAAACACATTTATCATCATTTATGTTTTAAAGAAAGTGCGGCTCTCAAATCCAAGCTCTTATGTATTCATTTTTAAAAAATATTTTTGATCCTGTTTGGGTTCCCTTGCTCACAAACCCAGGTCAGGTACACACTTGAAATCCCTGGGAAATAGGCTCCTGATTAAATGAAAGCCCTTAGGAAATGTTTACAAAGAGGTAGTTCAGGAGACAGAATAGCACTGGAGAAAAATTGGTCCGTTTCCATTTTAGAAGTATGCAGAGATGAGAAAGAACATGTGGCCAGTAACGTGTTCAGCCTTCTCAGTATTCATTGTTTCCTTGCAGGAGGCAATTTTAATTCAGAAGATGGAAACCAGCATAATATAGATCTGTCGTGGCTTCAGCATCAGGAAACAACACACTGATCATGACATCAAACTCCAGAGGAAGCCGGCTAAGGATGTGCTTGTTTTGATGTGACATGTGCCTGCGATGATTAACTCTCATGCTCCCACAATCTCTCCAGGGCCCCAGACTTGGTCCTTCCTCGCCTGTAAACAGGATCAGGATGCATCCTGGAGTTCAGCCAAGGGCATCTGGCCTTGGGTAAGACAGACTCCACAAAACACATACATTGTTCCTGGCAAGGGAACCACGAGGGAAGGAAAAGGAGAGAAGGAAGGCAGCATGGGACACTGACATCCATCCACGTATGACAAATCACATCAGATGCAACTGAGCACATGCAACTCAGAGGGAAAAGACAGGAATAGGCCCATGGAACACATTCACCTTCTACATGATCAACAGCTTCGGGAAAGCAATACAGCCAAGTGCCAAGTGAGAAAAAGGGAAAAGCATGTAAAATGAATGAAATGTTGACTGCAATGGAAGACATTTTAGACTGTTCTTGTTACATAACAAAGAGAGGGAGGAAACCATGCTGGGAGGAGACATTGGGAGAGACCTGCCAACAGACCTCCAAATGCATATTCAAATGGTGTTTCAAAGCACTTCTTTGGGCTTAAGTCTTTTTACCTATAAGATGGATTTTAATGTTTCCATTAAAAATGGAAACTGTATTGATTAGGTATATGTTTTTAAATTTTATTATTAACAGAAACAAGGTTTTGTTCCAATACCCAGGGTGGAGTCCAGTGGCACAATCACAGCTCACTGCAGCCTCAAACTTCTAGACTCAAGACATCATCCCGTCTCAGCCTCCTGAGTAGCTGGGACTACAGGTGTGTGCCACCATGCCAGACTAGTTTTTTAAAAAAATTCTGTAGAGATGGAGCCTTGATAACTTGTGCAGGCTGATCTCAAACTCCTGGCCTCAAGTGATCTTCCTGCTTTGCCCTCCCAAAGCACTGAGATTATAGGCCTGAGCCACCATGCCTGCTTAATTATCTTTTTCCAAGGCACTGGCCAGGCCACTTTGTAAAAAAGAAAAAAAAAAGTAGGTCAGTATATTAACAGACATTGTAGGTCAGTCTTGCTTTAAAAAATTATACTTCTAAAAGAAGAAAATTATTGTCATCCTGGAAATTGGTTCCAGAAGAAAAGGGAGAGAAGTTATGGGGGCAAATGACAATTGCCAGAGGCAAGGTGATGTCCCATTTATGTCGGAGAATGAAATATTTGTACTGTGCAATAACAGCCAAAAATTCAATTGGAAAAGGGTAGCCTTTGACATGAGTAACTGGTTTGGCAGACTTTTTCTGAGATTGAGATGACCATGCAGGACAGTATTGGGCATCAGGTAAACAGCTCCTTAGATATGTGACAATCAGTGAGAGATGGCACTGGGCAGAAATAAAAGTAGCCTCAGAACTTCCTGAGTTCTGTCTATAAAAGCCTAAAAGCATTGCTTAGGTGCCAATCAATCTAATAATATATATGCTACTTGTACCTTCTTGTACATTTAGTATCATGAGGATTAGTTACTGCTGTAAGTTTAAAAATGTGATTGTTGGAAGAGAGATTACAGGTAAGGTCTGGCAGTAAGGGGACAGTGGGCAAGAGAGAAACCAGAACACCCACCTTATAACCCTGACCAGTGGGCTTCCTACAACATTCACTTAAGCAAATTATCAGTGATGCAAAACTGAGCCCCTCTTATATGCTACCGTTTATGCAGGGTGAACTTCTAAATCTAGGTTCTCATCTTTCTGTGCCAACAAGTACGTGTGAGTGGAAAATATTCTAAGATATTAGTTTTTATTTTTCTCTCTGAATTTCCCCTTCCCCCTTAATCAGTCTAACAGCAGGCTTTGTGTTTCAGTGCCTCAGGGAGAGATGTGACTGAGCAGAAATAAAAGTAGCCTGCAAAACTTCCTGAATTATATCTTCAAAAGCCTAAGATCATTAAGGAAGAGAGAGTTTGGAGAAAATAGCATGGAGGTTTGAAAAAAGCAGATGAGAGAGAGGAGTTTTGCCCTTCAACTAACAGAGAGGAATCTCCTGCCAGAGGCAGGGTTGCAGGACTCAGGCCTCTTCTTGGTGTGGCATATTCCCAGAATTGATCCCCAGCTGTCTCTGGGGGATGAGTCAATGGCCACTGAGAGTTCCTGCCTTCAAGAACATTCCTGTGTGTTGAGAGTGGCAGGAGCAGTGGAGATCCCCAGGCCTGAAACGTGATGTTGATGGGGACCACAGAACAGAGTAGCCGGGAGAGTGCACAGAGCATAACCAGCACCCTGATGCCTGATGCTTGGCCATGGGCGATTCTGCAGCATTGGCATGCCATCCGTCAGAGTGGTGACAAAGACTCTCTCCTTTACCAAACTCTAGTCAGGCCCCTCTGAGCCCTCTTCTCCACTAGACCTCAACTTCAGCCTATAAAAACTACAGAAACTACAAAAACTACTCTCCATATAAATGATTTTGTCCACAGCCCCTGGTGCGCGCACACACACACACACACACACACACACACACACACACACACACTGACACTGGCTAGCATAGTTTCTAACAACTCAAGCTCATGTCCCTAGAATGACAGCTCTACCTTCTTTAAATTCCTGCCTGGGAAAGCTCAAGGCTGCCAAAAGAACTGACTGCTTCTCCAACACCTGAAGATGTGCTGGTGTTGTCTCCCCATCTCCCAGTCCCTGTAGGAGGTTAGGAGCCTAATTTCCCTAAGTGCCAGTTAAGAAAGCCAAATGACCTAATAGCATTGACAGATTTGCCTTCCTGCTTTTTGAGAATTTCCACTTCCCTGATTCTACTCAAGTCCCCACTGTTCCCGTGTCCTACTTTCTCATTCTCCCCTTAAGAACACCACACCCAATCCCATTACTGGGTATATACCCAAAGGATTATAAATCATCCTACTATAAAGACACATGCACATGTATGTTTATTGCAGCACTGTTCACAATAGCAAAGACTTGGAACCACCCCAATGCCCATCAATGTTAGACTGGATAAAGAAAATGTGGCACATACACACCATGGAATACTATGCAGCCATAAAAAAGAATGAGTTCAGGTCCTTTGCAGGGACATGGATGAAGCTGGAAACCATTGTTCTCAGCAAACTAACACAGGAACAGAAAACCAAATACCGCATGTTCTCACTCGTAAGTGGAGGTGAACAATGAGAACATATGGGCACAGGGAGCGGAACATCACACACTGGGGCCTGTCAGGGGGTGGGAGGCAAGGGGAGGGATAGCATTAGGAGAAATACCTAATGTAGATGATGGGTTGATACGTGCAGCAAACCACCATGGCACATGTATACCTATGTAACAAACCTGCACATTCTGCACATGTACCCCATAACTTAAAGCATAATAAAAATAAAAAATAAAAAAAACTAAAAGAGTATTGTTTGTAACACAAAGAAAGAATAAATGCTTAAGGTGATGGAGACCCTTACTTACCCTGATGTGATTATTATGCATTGTATTCCTATATCGAAATAGCTTATGTATCCCATAAATATATACACCTGTGTACCCACAAAAATTAAAAATTAAAATAATTAGAAGCTAAAAAAAAAAAAACCCAATCACCTCTACAAGAATCAAAGTTGAGCTTAGTTCACACTGGGCGCTCTTCCTTATTTTAATAGTTATTACTGATTAAAATCTGTCCTTACCGCTTCAACTAGTGCCTGGGTTTTATTACTTTTGACAGAGGTGACACCAAACATGACTGAGGTAAAGAGGATTCAATCTACTACCAGATTCCCATCAATTTAGCCAGACAAAAAGAATCAGATGTGAAATTAGGTTGATTTTTAGAAAATAAGTACGTGTGTTATTCTTTTGCACACCTGATCCTGTAGACTGAGACTCATACCCCACAACTGATATGCTAAGAATATGAGTACTAATGTTACCATTCAGCTTGTGGAAATGCAATTAAGAAGACAATTGGATGGAGAGAAATTATACTATGTGAAGCAAACTGAATTCAAAGATGACTTTTATATGAGCTGTACCAGTGGTCCCCAGCATCACTGATAAATAATGGCAGCCTAAAACCTCCATCAATGATAGCAGAGAAATTAATGAACCATTAAATCAGCATGTGCATTCTACCTTTGGAGAAAACTTTGATTCTGATGACTGGAATCCATACCATTAATATGAGCCTCTTACAAGTCCTAGGATAAGAGATATTTTGCTGGTGTTTAAATATTGTATTTTGATGGTGGTCAGGTTGTCTGATAACTGTGAATTCCTTAGGGCTTTCAGGACATGTAAAAAATGCTGAAACACATATTTAAATGTATATCTTGTTATATCCTAAGATCTTGGACAATTAGGAGGGCTGCTTGGGAAGCTCTTTTTAAATATTCTCAATGCTCTTCCTCTGCAGAAAGAACCCCCCAGGTCCTTCAAGGACAATAAGAAAAAGAGGATTTGCTTCTGTGGCCTTTCTGCCCAACAGACAGGAGAACATTTTAGAACTTAAAGCAGACATGATTTAACGACATTATGCAATTTGATTATGGAAGGAAAAGCTGGGTTTCTACTCCATCCCTTGAAATCCAGCCTTTTCACACATGCATTCTAGCTTTCCTAAACAATTCAAAGTGAAACTTCTTTTTTTTTTTTTTTTTAATCCATTCCTGGTCAGTGTAAGGACTGAATCATTCTGAGACACAGAGTCAGGTCAGTTCACTTTGTAAAAGTGAACTGTCTTTTACAAAGATGACTAAGAGATACTTATCATGTATTTGACAAGTTTCTTTACGCTTCAGAGCCCAATTCAGCCCAAGCCTGTCTTGATCAATATAGTTCTTAAAAAATAGATCCAACATTGATATGGTTTGGCTCTGTGACCCCACCCAAATCTCATGTCCAGTTGTAGTTCCCAACGTTGAGGAAGGGGCCTTGTGGGAGGTGACTAGATCATGGGAGCAGATTTCCCCCTTGCTGTTCTCATGATAGTGAGTGAGTTCTTACGAAATTTGGTTGCTTGAAAGTGTGTAGTACTTCCTTTACCCTCTCTCTCTGCCACTCCACTATGTGAAGAAGGTGCTTGCTTCCCCTTCGCCTTCTGCCATGTCTAAAAGTTTCCTGAGGACTCCCCAGCCATGCTTCCTGTACAGCCTGTGGAACTGTGAGTCAATTAAACCTCTTTTTTTCATAAAGTACCCAGTCTCAGGTAGTTCTTTATAGCAGTGTGAGAATGGACTAATACAAACATTTAAAATGTTTATTTTAAACATCTAGATTTATGACTTTGAAAAAAAATCAGGAGATCCAACAAAAGGAAGTAGCAGCCCATCATCCCTAGATGGAACGCATGACTTCTAATTTACCCCAGACCAGGACACTTCCTAATGCTCTCCAGCAATGACACAAAGCCACTCCCTCAAAGTCATTATTGGCTAGGCCCCTTGCACATGAGGTTTACCTGGTGTGGTAGTATCTCCCCCAAGAATAGGCCAGCACTCAGGAACTACTTCCTCCCCACAAATGGACTCTGCTTTAATCTACTTCATAGTCCCAATACAGTTAACAAAAAAGGGTCTTTCTAGCTGCCTTAATAAAATGAGACACACATGAGGAGAGAGTTATTTAAAAATTGTTTTTGAGCTTTAGGTTGGCTTAGCTTTCCTGGAATGTCTAATTTAGCTCAGGAAGTGCCTCCAACATTTTTAAGAATATCAAGGACAGAAAAGCTCAACTCAGCCATTTCCAGGGCTCTACATATCCCTCAGGCTCCTTACAGGGTTAAGGGAGACTGCACTATCCCAATAGGACCCCAGGAGGCCTGTCATCCTGCCATTGAGTTACCATTTGTTCCCTGGCTGATAAGAAACTGCATTGAAGTACTAGTAGAATTTTCAGAGTCCTAAAGAACTGGGAGAGTATTCCCCTCAACTCTGTAACACATCAGTGAGAGGGGTGGGTATAAATAGAGTTTGGAGTTCTAAAGACCTTGATTGAAAACTGACTCAGCACTTTTAGTTGGGTGACCTTGGGGAAGTCATTCTTTTTGAACATTGGTTTAAATTATTTTGTAGTGTGGTAGAGGAAAGGGAGAGACAAATTAAACAAATGAATGAGTAAGATTTCTGAGCTTCAGTTTCCCCAAATCAACAAAATAATATACATATTACAGAACTCTTGTGAATTCAAATGCATCTATAAAGTGCCTAGAACAAAGCCTAAATCACAACTCAGTAAATTATAGTTTTTATGTTATATACTTTAATTCCTGAATGAATGTAGAAACATGAATTCTGTAACTTCTTGAAGTCTGATATGGTTAGGCTTTGTGTCCCCACCCAAATCTCATCTTGAATTATATTCCCTATAATCCCTACATGTCAAGGGAGAGACCAGGTAGAGACAGTTGGATTATGGGGGCAGTTTCCCCCATGCTGTTCTTGTGATAGTGATTGAGTTCTCACAAGATCTGATGGTTTTATAAGGGGCTCTTCCATGACTGTAAGTTTCCTGAGGCCTCCCCAGTCATGCTGAACTGTGAATCAATTAAACCTCTTTCCTTTATAAATTACCCAGTCTCAGGCAGTTCTTCATAGCAGTTTGAAAACAGACTAGTACGAAGTCCCATCCAACTTCCCGGCTTACTATCTGTCTAGGTCAGAAAACATCTGACCTTATACTTCTTTTCTTCTTCATATAAACTGAGAATCATTCATTTAATCAGTGAATTTATAGCACTTATTAAACCAAAAGCACAGTTGGGAATATAATATTGAGCATAGAAAGGATAATCAGACAGGGTTCTGTAATAAATACACCTATTCCTCTATTCCTTGCTTAAAACCTTTAATTCATTACTGAAAACTTGGTAACTAATTAAAAATTCATTAAATAAAATCTTCTATTTGACAGAAAAAATAATATGGTCCATCTCAACATAATATTTCCAAATAAGTATCACAGATAGAAAAATAGATCAACTGAAGAATGTTTGAAGATTTATATAACTAATAAACAATTATTTAGAAGTAAATAAAAGAAGTTTGTGAATAAAATGTAATAGCATGTAGGTTTATTATGCTCACCAAATAACACACACATACAGAGAGAGCAAGAAGAGAAAGAATGAGAGAGATAGAGAGACTTGATGGTGAAGGAAAAGTCATTTTTGTGGAAGGCATATTTTTTCTCCTGTATCATTTTCTTCTCTAGTTTTTCAATGTTTGCAAGGGCTTTTAGTCATGTTGTATCCAAAATGCCTTCAAAATAGTTATAGTATTAGAAAAATACAAAAGTACTTCAAAATGTGTGGAAACAGTACATGTAAACAACAGATCAAAATATCTTAAAAGAGTTTACCTCTTCATCTTTCTCACTTAGTGTACACAGGCAACATAGAACATTTGGTTATGTGGTATGCAATTCAAATTTGTTCCATGTGATATTCTCTGATTAGAAACTACTGTGTTGAGTGTGTCTTTCTTAACTAATTTTATTTTATTAGTTATACTAATAAAATAATTATTTTTATTAATAAATTAAAAATAAAAATAATAGTTATACTAATAAAATAAAATTAGAAATACTAATTTTATTGTGTATTTTGTAAATTTTTGATTAATAAGTTCTTATGCCATGAAAAGAAGTTGTCTTAAAACTGGCATCATTTTCCAAGTCATTATGGCAAACAACTAACCAAATAGGTATGGGGGGAAAGTCAGTAGAGCAGCAGAAGCAATATGTCATTCCAGTCTGCTTCTTAATGGCATTCTCCCCTCTCCTATGCACAGGGCAGAGAGATCCGGAGCTGCATCCCCTGGTTATACTGCCCACCAAGGCTGAGCCAGAGAAAGCAGCCCCACTGAGGCCCATGACATCTGGATTCTTCGTCTCGTCAAATGTCAACACCCTCGTAAATGTAAAACGGACTCCAATTCTTTTCATTTTTCTTGATTGCAGGATAAGAAAGTTCCTCTGAGATTAAGACTGAGAAAGGTCTTAAAAGCCAAGACTCCAAATGGCATCAGGAAACCCAGGCTCTTCGAAATATGCAGTGAAAAATGAAACCCTTGCAAGATGAGACATTTGATAAAGAAGAAAACATCAAATTTTCTTGAAGCTTTCCTCTCACTGTAACTCTGCCTCCTTGGATTGAAGCTACAGAGAAGAATGCAGCCTGCGGGTGCTCATGCCTGAGCATCATCTCCTCTTTTCCACCTGCTGAGCTATGTCTAAATAGACATCCTCTACCTTTGGCCCAAAACTTTCTGTTCCTGAATAGAAAGAACATTCTTGTCATATCAAGAGTTCTGGGATATTCTGGGAGCAGTTTAGAGCTTTCAATCAGTATAAAGTTTCTTTTCTCATGAAAAGATCTTGCCACAGGGGATGAGAAACAAGCTATTGAGCATCTAATATATGTGTATACCATGCTAATCAATTGTACATACTTCAGTCTATTTAATTAACAGAAACACCCTCCAAGGAAGTCTTATCCCCCTCAATTAAGTAGATTAAAAATAAACGTCTTGGAGAAGATAAGGTGATTGAGCTTGTAAGAGAGCCATGCCTTTTGCACTAAACTACACAGACCTAATCCCTGTACATATATCTGCCTTCCATTCCCAAGATCTCTTGGTAGGGTCTTCCAGAGATCTTCTAGGAATGTACTTAATAACTGGTTCTTCCATTATTTTTCTACCATTGAACTTGAAGAAGATGTGACTGGGGAATAAAGGCAAAGCCAAGCATGAGAAGGTAGATCTGAAACAGGAATGTTAGACATGGAATACAAGAGGCAGAGCAAGAGTAAGCAAGATAGATAATCCTGTAATCCTTCACATGGGAGGAAAGGTTGTAGTAACAACTCCATTCTAACAAGCACAGATAGTACACAGGTTGTTTTTCATTAAACTTGTGAGAGAAAGAGACACATCTCTAGATATATTATTGGAGTGGTCAAAAATGTCTTCATGAACACAGAACTGAAAGCCTAACACATTCATGCCTAGGCCAAAGAATGTCTAGATGAGATGGCCACTGTGAGATAAACTGCAGTCTTCCACAGTGGACTATGTTTGTCCTTTATTTAAAAAAAAAAAAAGAATCTAATATGGGTGGTTTTTTTTTCCTGTACTTATCCTTACTGACATTTTTACAACAGGTTTTATGTGGTTATCTGCTTATTTATAATATACACATGAATAAATCACTTCCTCAATGCATCTACATTCCTTAAAAAGCCACATGTACTATTACTACATTAGTCATCGGTTTTTCATGGTTGATAAAGCCACTAACAATGTTGAGTTCTGATGAGATAGAATCACCTGTGCCACAATTTCCCCAAATGTTTCTCAGTAAAGCACATTCACCATATACAGATTGTAGTAACAGACTTAGAGCAAAATAATATTGCAACTGTTATGTTTTCCAAGGAACTGAATAATTGTTTTACCTAAGTAAATGAATAACATTGCCTAGTCTCGGAGATTAAAATTTCCCAAATTCATTCTGACTCAAAATGGGCAAATATGTATATAAAAATAAATTTAAAATGTGCACATATTCATTACAGTCTTTAAAAATTGCACTGGGTAGAAGCAGGACATGAAGTGTGGCCCAGTAGTCTAGATTTCCATTTATTTAGGAAAGGGTTTGCCGTGATCTAGCATGAGAGCCACAACCTAACAAAACCAGATCTGTTAGAATGCCTTGGCACAAGCTTTGTCTAGCTATTGGTAAAGCCAAAACATCTCAATTTCAGCTTTTCCCATTCAAACATTACCTTTAATTAGGTTTGTTAAAGGCAAGAGCTAACTACATTGTTTTAAATGTAGAAGACTAAGGCTACAACCTATGTTGTGTGGACCCCCAGAGAAGAGTTTAGGTCATTTTGTTGTTGCTGTTGTCCTTAACGACATGCCAACTGTCAGATCCCAAGGCTGTGAGATGCTCTCCAAGGGAGTGAGAGGGAGGTGAGGTGGTGGGGACTGAATAGAGGGCCAATGAAAACCAAACCAAGTGCCATGTTGGCACCTAGACTGGGGCCAATTCTATGGGTGCTGGAGGAGGGATCGATAGAAACAAGAGAAAAAATAAAACTCCACCTTCTTCAGACCAGTGAAAGTTAAAAGCTTGTAACACCGTCACCCCATGGAAGTCAATGGATAGTGGACCTTCAGATGGTTTTGCTGAAAGGAGATGATGAGGAAGCAAAACTAATAGTGAAGACATAAGACACCATGCTTGTTTTTGTCTCTCTCCTGTCAGACCCAAGGAGAACAGGACCAAAGCCCTGAGGAAAGCAGTCAAACAATGCTTCCACTGAAAAGAGAGAAGGATTCTTCTCCTACAAGGTAGTCTATTTTTATTCATCATTTACACACTTAGAGTTTATTGATTTCAGTTAAAATATACAATGAATCCTTCATTTGAAGGCACACTAATTGGTCAGTATTCACTGTTTAAAATTTTTTCATCTTTTTCTAGTAATTTTTTATTGTGATAGAATTGCATAACATTACAATTACATTTTTGCCACTTAAAAGTATGCAGTCCAGAAGAATTAAGTACATTTACATTGTTGTATAAACATCACCACTATCTATGTCCAGAACTTTTCATCTTTCTAAATTGAAACCCTGTGCCTACTAAACAATAACTTCACATTTCCCTCTGCTCCCAGCCCCTGCCAACATTTATTCTACTTTCTGTTCCTATAAAACTGGACTACCCTATGTACCTCACATATGTAGAATCATACAGTATTTGTCCTTTATGTCTGTCTTATTTCACTTAGCATAATGTCTTCAACATTCATCCATGTTGTAGCATGTGTCAGAATTTTCCTTTATAGAGCTGAATAATAGGAGTATTCTCCTTCCTATAAAAATATATCTTTACCATTTATCTGTTCTCTGACCTTGAATATGTCAATAAGTCTTTCTTAGCCTCAGTTTCTTCACCTGAAAAATGGAGAAAATAAATTACTTACCTCACTAGGCCTTTGTTAAGGATTAAATTAAGTAATTCGTGTTAATCATTAGCATAGTACTTAAAAATACATAAGGGCTCATCAAGAGGCAGCATTTATTGTTGATGTTGTTATGGTTATTGTTAACATTGTTATTATTAGCTTAGAAGTTGTCACAAGTTTTTTGTTTGTTTTTTGTTTTTTATTTTATTTTATTATTATTATACTTTAAGTTTTAGGGTACATGTGCACAATGTGCAGGTTTGTTACATATGTATACATGTGCCATGTTGGTGTACTGCACCCATTAACTCATCATTTAGCATTAGGTGTATCTCCTATTGCTATCCCTCCCCCTCCCCCCACCCCACAACAGTCTCCGGAATGTGATGTACCCCTTCCTGTGTCCATGTGTTCTCATTGTTCAATTCCCACCTATGAGTGAGAACATGCAGTATACTATGCAGCCATAAAAAATGATGAGTTCATGTCCTTTGTAGAGACATGGATGAAACTGGAAATCATCATTCTCAGCAAACTATCGCAAGGACAAAGTCACAAGTTTTTTAAAGCAAGAATATCTATAACACTGCAGAATTTTGCAAACTCTTTTAGGAAAACCATTGGCTTCCTAATGGTCAAATGTAGCTGTGCATTTGGAACACCACATAAATTGGTAGACTTTTGAGCCTAGAAATTTTCCTAAGACATGGTGACAACATTAGATGATCACGAACAAAGTTAAACAGCCTCATGGAAGTTCCATTAAACACCTATAAATATGCAAGAAAAAATAAACTTCCTGAAAGAATGAAAGAGCTGCAATGAAATGTTTCCAGTTCCTGAGTAGAGGCAGGTGAATCAGGTAAGAATGAAGTTGATTGTGCATGTCTGCCTCCATCTTTGAATCATGAGGTAATTGGGTGTATTCATGATAGGAATTTTTCTTTCTCCAGCCAAAACCAAGCTGGTAATTACAAGTGCCCAAAACCACAATCTGGACACAGCCTGTGACACAATCTGGACACAGCCAGGTCTGAGATCAGACTTGGAAAGGCCCTTCCCTCCATCTGAAAAATGCCTTTGCTAGTCAGAAGAAGCTAACAGGGAGAACACCACCACATTCCCTGATCCTCCATGGGATCCTCAAGACCAGGGGCACCATGGGGGTCCTTGATTACATTGTTCAGGAAACCAATGAGGGAACGTCTTGGCTTCTTTATAGAAATTACATAATATAGAAGAAAAAAGCAAAACACAGCCAACAAACAAAAATGCTGATAAGTCCTTTTGAAGGACAATACACAAAAGCTCAGTTGAAGCTTTCACACATAGACATGCATTTTTCATTTTTCTTCTTGGAGATGAATTTCTATGTGTGTACTTTATTTGTACTTGGGCTCCAAAATCATGTATCCTTTCCTCTTGCTGTAGGCAGTTACATGGTGTCTTAGACTACTTGGGCTGTTATAACAAAAATACAATAAACTGGGTGGCTTCAACAACAAACATTTATTTCTCACAGTTATGGAGGCTAGAAAGTCCAAGATCAAGGCACAGGCAGACTCCATGTCCAGTGAAGGCCTATTTCCTCTTTCATAGATGGCTGTCTTCTAACTGTGTCCACACTTGGCGGAAAGGTGAAGGAGCTCTCTGGGGTCTCTTTTATAAGAGCACTAATTCCAATCATGAGGGCTCTATCTTCATGGCTTCGTCACTTTCCTGCCAAGAGTCCCTACCTCCTGATGCCATCACCTTGGGCGTTAGGATTTTGCCATATAAATTTGGGGGTACACAAACATTTGATCCACAACAGGTGGCGTACTATTTGAAAGTAGAGCTGTATTTATCTAAATATTATTTGGTGGACAGATCAGAGAGGGAGTATCATACCTAGAACCCTGGCCCACAGAAGTTTTTTCCAAAGGTTTATGTAAAAGCTCTGAAGTGAAAAATTCCAAAAATGGTTTAAACAATAGTCACTTGATTTCAGACAGTATGCAGATTTTCAAGATGAATAACTTGAAGCTTCCATTCTGACATACTGGTTAAGCTATCCATCTCACTGTCTTAGGCTTAAGCAGCACCCCCTTGCCAGTTGTCATTCCTGTGACTGCTAGCTCCGAAAGGAAAAGGCAGGAGATGAGGATTCTGATCTAAGGGTGAAAGAATTATGCAAAGTTTCTTGTCTCAAAGGACACAGGAATTTTGTAATTCTTTTGAACACTTATACCAAATGTCAAATTTCCCCAAAGCTGGATGAAGAAGGAAGGGAAAAGAACTGACATTTATTTGAGCTAATACTCTGTCATGCATTATGCCAAGCAATATGCATGGCAATTTTGTTGATAAATTAGAGGAATTGACAAATCAGAGAAATAAAGTAGCTTTCTCAAGATTACACAGTCAGTAACCCCAGGTCTGTTTCCCTTGAAATCCTCTCTATATTCCATTATACCCTAAAGCTTCATCCCTATAGCTTTTCTGAATGTCAGATATAGAAACGTCTCTATTTGTCTCAGATCTCTCAGGTAAGACATTGCCTTACTAAATATATGACCTCATTCGGGATGTGCCAGGAGGCTGCCAAGGCAGCTGGAATAGTTAGAGTGAGGGCAGCCATATTTCCTTGATCACACCGAAACCCGCTCAACCAGACATCTCAGAGTGGGAAACAACATCCTGATTTCTGAAAAATAGTCAATGGTGGCACAAGATAAAGGCAAACATTTGGGTTGGCACCAGCCATTAATATGATTCCTGATGGACAGGGCCATCTGACTGTGGGAGGGGTTACTTTCTCAATCACTTGTAGGGTGATGGCACAATGAGAGTGAGTGACATGTAGCTCGATTATATTTGCCTCCCTTCATGCCCACGTGAATGCACTGGTCTTTTGTTTGGCATTAGTACAAATCCTCTGTCTCTCCCATAACTCCTAGGTATCAATCATGAAGTTAATAGAAGTGGGATCCTCCAAAAGACACCTTGGCTTTCCCCACAGTCATCCACCTGTTCCACCTGTTTCAACAGGTGAACTCACTGCAAGCACAGAAGACATCTAAGGACTTTAGAAGTGAGGTAGCCTCCCAGGACACCAAGACACCTCCCCCAAGAAATGACTCCATTTGTACATTTTCATATAATGTTCTTTCTACAAGAGGATCTTTGTAATTTACTAGACCCTTTTCTTTCTCAAAATACATGAGGATACCAGAGGAATTATCTTCTAACCTTCATTTTGACCCTTTCACCTACAAACTTGATTGGATCTGCCTAATCTCTGAGGAACTTGCTAAGCTCTGGTTGTCAATTTATATGGCCAGATTGACAGAAAGTATGAAAGTCCTGTGGAACTATGTTTACTTTCACACATGAGCCAGTGAGGTAAGCCAGTTCATCTGGTGATGCAGCATTGATGGCTCTTCTTGGTCCCCAACCATGCATGTAATAATACACATGGTTTCTATTCATTTTCAACTGACTTGAGTCATCAAATTAAAACATATTCAGTGAATATAGTTCAAAGAAATGAGATAATGTTAAAGAAATAAAAACATTCAGAATAACTTTTTTCTTTGTCACCACGTTGGCTTAATTAGACAGGAATTGGTCCTACTTTGATTTTGTAAATGAGGAATTTAAGAAGCAGCAGTAATAATAATTACTGCAATATTTTCAGCCTTTCTAGGTTGTAAATTCTCAGCACTGTCGTTATTTGCATTCAGCCCTCACCTAAGGTTTTCTCAGATGCCTGTGGTTTAGATACCCCCACAGTAGGGATACCTTCCATTAAACTTAACTCACATGTAAAGCCTTTCCAACTTTAGATGAGTAGTGAAAAGCTGCCTTTAGCCTGTCATTGAAGTACCTTCTACTACCAGGGCAAGCTTTTAAGTGAGGGTCTTGATAAGAGCATTCCTCTGAGATGATCACTCTAAGACTTGGAGTAGGAAAGGAAATGAAATCCCAAGTTGCCTTATCCACCTCCTACCCCTCCTCTTGGTTCATCATAGTAGACTTCTATCTCCCCCAATTTTTTTACACACATGAACAGGGTCTGTAAACATAAGTTGTCGCCTCCTACATTCCTTTGACAATCACCATTTCCTCTAGGAAAAACTCTTCCTGCTCCACCCAGGTAGGGTTAGGTGAGCCTCCTCTATACCCTAACAGCAGCCTGCATGTATTTCTATTATGTCATTTGTTAAACTACCATGAGTTTGTTTTTTATAAATTATAAGAAGCTTTTCATTAATATCGATAAATGTGCATATATTATGGGCTTTATACCTTTGATGATACCATGTTCTTCTATTATGTGGTGGTTTAGAGATTCATAAAATTCATTCTTACCTATTTAAATTTGTCAAGAAATGTGCCCTTGGTTGACGGTAGGTAAAGAGGTTGCAAACTTGGTATCAGTAAGGCATAAAATCTGGTTTGTTCTGACCGCTGTATTATATTTCTGCTGTTGAATAACAAATTATGCAAACAAGGCAAACTTGAAACGATAGCCACTTATTATTGCACACAATTCCAGGTAAGCTTAGCTAATTCTTCACTCAGAGTCTCACACTCAAGATATCAGCCAGCTGCCATTCCCATCTGAGTCTTGGGGACTTCTTCCAAGCTCATTGGTTGTTGGCAGAATTCATTTTCTTCTTACCCTTTCCATGTGGGTTCTCCATCTTCAAGCCAGCAATGGTAGTTTGAATTATTCTTATGCTTCAAATCTCTCTGACTCCCTCGTCTGCTGCCAGCCAGAGAAAAATCTCTGCTTTTAAAAGCATGATTAGTTTTGCCTACCTGGACAATTTCCCTTTCACCCTAATATGGGCATAATATCAAGTTCAGGGGCCTTGGAAGTCATCTTAAAATTACGCCTTTTACAACCATGACTCTGGCACTTTTGATCAAATATTTCTGCATTCTTCATCTTTTTGTCTATAACAAGGATATGATTTTCTACCAGGGATGTTTAGAATTGAGAAATGCAAGCTGAAGTGGTCCTGAAGTAGTCAGAGAATCACTGAACCAAATGGAATCAATCCCACAGTCTTGACTTCAGAGGAAAGTGTATGCTGACCAAATGAGCAAACCAGTCATCTCTACTGGGAAAGTAATAATAGAGGTGGCCCTGATTTCAGAAGCAGAGTGAGATGCCAATGACTCCACTAAAATATTTCATTGTCCCAATAAAGTAAGGTTGTGACCACCATCTGAGTCGCTGCTGTCAAAGCACAACTTCAGTTATACTGTGCAGACTAGAATTTCTGAGCCCAATATTATTAAGCTGATTTTCTGATTATAATGGAGTCCAATTTCAGCTATTTCTCTGTGCACTTCCTATTTTTATAAAATTATATCAATCATAATCACTGTGATAATATTGTCAGTGCTGTCTAACTTACATATTTAGCTTATAAGTTAACAAAATCTTTAACAAACCAGCCACAAAAGTTAGCTTTATGAACCAGACTTATAGAGAATATAAAGGGACATGAAACCCATAGGAAAAGGAAATTCATCTCCTAAATAGTCACGATTATTTAGGCAAGATTTATTCCTTTTCAGTAAACCCCTTGAAAGAGGAGACTATCTGTGTCTTACCATTTTGCCCCCAACAAACTGCCTAATTTCATATCTAGAACATAGTAGGTGCTCAAGAAATACTTGCTGAATAATGAATGAACATTTGTTAGGAAACTTTAGTAGGAAGGATTTTAATAGTAAAACCGTGAAACTAATCTAAGTGTCTAAAACTAGAGAACGATTTAATAATGTTTTAACAGCCTCCAAAATTATGTTGAGGAAGAATAAGATATATCATAACATAAAAATTGTGATACAGATTATAGATGAAAAATTTAGGTTACTAACAAGAATGTATAAAATATTCCATTAATTATATATACATATATACACATATTTTACTATTTTATATATTAAAAGATATACAGCATTATACTATGTTGGTTATCTCTGGGGATCAGATTACAGGTTGTTTTTACTTGCTTCCTTGAGATTTTTTTCTGTAATATCTGAATTTTATTCCTTTCTTTCCAAATTTGGGGAAAAAAATAAGGTTTCTGAAAATTAAAAAAAATAGATAATATATCAAGTTTGGACTGCAAACCAGAGCTTTCAGCAGAACATAGTTGAGTCTTTGCCATAGACACCAACTCATTTCCTTCCTTTCTGTGGCATTCATTCCACTATCATGCATTTTTTCCCAAATGAGATGACAAAATGGAAAGACCATTTCTACACCAAGCATTGAGCCATAGGAAAGCGGAATGTCAGTCAGGGCATCTGCAGATCAGGAAATCATGTCACAGAAAACAGGACCTGTATAAGATCTAAGTTTATGCCATTTGCTGATCAGTTACCATATTTCAAAAATTATACACACTGTAATCCCCTCTCTCTGTTCTGCGGGCCCTTTGAAGAAGAAGGCATTTTTAGCAAATGTCCTTTAAATGGAGAAAAGAGGCAGATCAATTTACTCCAAACTACTTCAGATTAGATCTTAGTCAGAATGCCTCCCCAGAGTGGAAGCTCTTCTCCAGAAGTACCTTTCCTGTTGGATTCAGGTTCAGGGTTGGAACCCACAGACCCAGAATGATAGGCTATCAGCAAAGAAAAGCATGTCATTAGCATCCAGCAGCCCTCAGTTTGTCCTTGTCTCCTTCATCTTCCTTCAAACTTCTATTTTTCTCTTAGATTTCCCTGAAACTCTTTTAAAAATTCCTTTTGAAACAAGTGGGTGCCTGACTCATTGCCTATTTCCTCTGTTTTCCACCCAAGTGGTAAACAATGGGCTCTATTCAAATATGGACCGTCTGTGAGCTGGGAACCTGCGTGCAGACAAAGCTCCTTGTCCCAGGGCAGACTGCCAGACCCATGCTCTCCTCCACTCACCTCCTAGGCTGTTTAATAAGGGCCACTTGGCAAAAGGCAACATATTGTCATGGTCCTGTGACCTTGTAGTTCTCTGTCTCTTTTCCCTTCAGCCCGAAAGAATATTTCTCTAAATTCTCAAGTCAACGCATTTGAGAACAGCCTTTCAAAAGATACTTGTAGGAATAACAGAAGGTAGTTCAGGACCCAGTCAAAAGGACTATCTGGCTTTATTTACAATAATTTTAATGCCTCTGTCCTAACTCCTCCAAAGTTATTAATATTTTGTCTGTAGATGGTGGTTGCCAGGAAAGAGAATCTTGCAAAGTCAAGGGCATGACAAAGCTGAGAAATAGAGAAGGCTAGCCTAAGACTTTGGGAAGAGAAAGGTGAAGGAAAAAAATAGTAGGAATCAGACTATGGAACAAGAAGAACGGGACAAAGTTTCAAGTCCAAAGTGAGCAGGTAAGACAAAAATAACTGAACTTAAATGACAGAGTAGTCTTCAGGGAAAAAAAGAGAGAGAGAGAAGAGACTAGAGAACACATTTGCTTCAAGTGCTTGAGGAAAGCACACCTCCAGTGTGTAGAGGAATCACAGGAGGAGATTTTGCATATGGTGTCCAAACTCCCTTCCCAAGAATTTATGTTTCCTGAAGAACACTGCCAACTTCCCCCCTCCATCTTAAAATGGTAAGAAAGAGAGTTAAAGAGAAGGTAAGGGAAACAAATAAATAATTACGATAATCCAGTTATATTAGATATGTGTGCATTTTAAAATAACTTCAACAACCATATGAAATTGTGGCTCTTGTTCCTGTTTTTTTTACAGATGAGAAAATTGTAGCTTATGGAGTTTAAATAATTTGCTCACAGTCACAGAATTAGCGCTAGAATTTAAAATCAAGTGGTATGACTAAAAAACCATGAGAAAATTCATTCCTTCTTTTACAAAACAAGTCACTCTCTACTGACAATCAAACCCAAGTCCTCTAGATTCTCCATAATATTATTTACATCTATCCTCTTCTATCCAGCCCTACTGTCCCTCCCTCATAGCTTACTAAGTTTTCCCCAAAAGCCTCCTGACCTCCCTTCTCTGTGTCCCCCCATTCTTTTCCTTTCTTCTTTCCTTTTCCTTCCTCTCTCAACATGTATCTCATCAATTCCAACCTGCTTAAAACCCTTCAGTGACTTCCCACTGACCTAAGATTAAGTCATTGCTCTCAAATATGGCACTGCTTACCCATTGTTCTGCATATTATATTCTCTCTCCATCACTTTCTATGTTCCAACCACATTGGACTTCTTTAATATCCTCAAAACTACAAGTCGTATACCAGGGAAGGGCTTTTACACAGGCTGTTTATTCACTGTGGAACACTCCCTCCTCCTCTTCTCTTAGCTCAGCCATTCGCAAACTTTTGGGGCTCGGCCCCTTTGTGCTCTCAAATCTTCTGAAGAACCCCAAAGACCTTTTCATTTTAAAAAAGGTAGATTATATCATTATATCATGTTGCAAATTAGAACCAATTCTTTTTTAAATATTTAATTCATTTTAAAACAACATAGTAAACTGATTATACCTTAACATAAATAACATTTTATGAAAACATAGCCACGTTTTCCAAAACCAAAAATACATGAGTGAGACTAGTAGTGCTGTTATGCATTTTTTGCAAATCTTACCAATATCTGGCTTACTAAAGGATAAATGGATTCTCATGTCTGCTTCTGCATTCAATCTGTTGTGAAATCTATGTTATGCAGCTTCTGTAAAACTCCATTGTACACTTGTAATGCAATAAGAATGAAAAGGCAAATGACTTCTTAGTATTATAGGAAAACAGTCTTAACTCCTCCCTAAAAGTGTCTTAGGCAGAGACATCCAGGAAACCCAAGGTATACATTAGGAACTCTTAATTATCCTTAATATCTTGTCTTAAAGTTAAAATTTGCAAAGATGTCTTTCCTGACCTCAAAGAATAGGTCTGAGTCCTCTTGTTATATGTTTCTATAACATTCTTACCTCTCTGTCAAAACACTCACCGTACCTATAATTTATTCAATAATTTGCATAAGGACAGGGACCATACCAACTTTGTTCATAGTGAGTCTCCAGTGCTCAGCACACAGCAAGGACTCAGAAAATCTTTGTGGGAGGAAGCAGGAAATAGAAGGGGGAGAGCAAGGAAGTAAGGCCTCAGACTCAATGACACAGCTCCCTGACAATCGCTCCATTCCTTCAGCAGGATGTACACAGAGATATAACTTTCTACAGCATCCACTGCAGCTCTGGGCTCCATTTCCCTTTGAAATGGGATGGGAGAAAGGGGCAGGTAACAGACTGGAGTGAGGAGACTGAGGAGAAACTGTAGAGAATAATACTTAGGAGTACACGTGCTGGATTCTCTCATTAAGGTAATCATTCAATATTTACTAAGCAGCTACAATTTGCCAGGCATTCTTCTGGGCACTTGGGACACATCAGTGAACAAAATAGAGAAAAGTTTCTGGCCTCAAGCGATTTACAGGCAGACCTGAACTCAACCACACATCCCTCCACTTGAGTTGGCCTGGATTGTTTGTTTAATCTTCTTGTGCCTTATTTCTCTCATCAGTAAAATGTGAACAAGCCTTGAGAGTTTCCAGGTGAGAACTAAATGAAAGAATATCTTTAATGTACCCAATAGAATCAGGCACCTGGTAGGTGCCTAATAAATGGAAATCTTTCTGCTGGCAACTCTTATTCCAAAATTGATTTTTTTTTCATGTACAGAAACTATTCGATAGATTAGAATCCAGTCACTCACAGGATATCACTTGGGTAGTTGTCGGGGAGGGGGAGTGGTGTATTTAGGGTCTTCTCAGGATTCGGGGGGCTGGCTGCAGTGTCATTTTCCTATAGAGAAGCATCACCTCTGGCTTCCTCTCTTCTTCACAAGCCACCTGGATATGTTTACATTGAACTATGCAAGGTACTATTGTAGTCTTAAGCTATGCAGTATTTCAAAACAGACTTTCCTGAGGACTCTTACAAAAATAATTATGCCACGAGTGTCAGACTATTTGAAAGAAGATATTCATAGCCAACTGTTTGTAAGGGACCACCTCCTTACATGGGTTTATTGTGTATCATAGGGTTGCTGGGGTTTTCCAACTTCACCCTCTGAGTGTGGGTTGGCCTTTCTGAGAAAGCTACACTGCCTTTGAAGTAGGACTACCAGGAGAGAGGGGGGAAAAAAAAGTGTAGGGCTCTTTGACTTTTCATTTCCCTTTCTATCTACTTACTCTTTGTGCCTTCTCCAGTTAGTACCACACTAGAGAAGTGTTAGGTAGAGGAAGAGGAAGAAAGAAAAAAGGACAATCTTATCAGTTGATTTTGCTATGTGTTACCAGTCTGGTAAAAACATTTGAAGTTAGAAAGTATTCAAACATGAATAAAGTTTGGGAATTACTTGTATGGATTTAATTTCCTCAGAATACCCTCATTGTTCCTTCGCAGGAAATATTCATGAGTCAACTATCCAGAATCATAGTTATTATTCAAGCGGTGTGGGTTTAAAAGGAGATTTGATGCCATGGCAAACCTCACTGACTTAGACTGTTCTTCAAGTTAAAGAGCAGGATGATGTCTGAAGTGGCTGAAACACATATGGCTTCAGTGTGTCAAGAAGACCTGAAAGATCCCACATGGAAGTGAAATTCATTACTGGCAAGCACGGTGGCAGGAGACCCCAGAGGGCTGAGCCGCAAAGAATTTGCAGAGCCTTATGGCTAACTCCATGGCCTAGTTTGATCTTGAAGTTACTGTCTTGGATAATCCTCTCAAATCTGTTCCTGCACTTAAGAGCCACTCATCACATGACGGAGCTCCCTCTCAGGTTCCTTTACATCGCCCTGTCAGAAATGACTTTCAGGGAACAGACATCACATCAAATCATCCAACAGATGTCCCTTTCAAATAAGTTGGAGCAGAACCAACTATATGGAGAAGTCATAAACAAAGAAACAGACAACCCAGTGATTTCCAGCGGATTGACATTACTCTTTGCACAGAAACCTCAGTCTCCTGGGTGGAAGAACATGAGTTCAACAAAGCGTGTGTGCACTATATTGGCTGACTCTTGCCGTGCTCAGGCTCATGCTGCTGACAGGGGAGAGAGGGGACATTTTGGAGTCCAAATCTTGCATCATTTCATTGAAGTGTTCAATGTCATGGCTGTAAGAAGTAACCCATTTTAATAACTGGCATCAAAGGATTTAGGAGAGAGAAACCCAGTATCCAGACCCATTTCCGTCAGTGACACTCTCCTCGTATTGGGAGGATTGGCCAGAATCGTCTGATTCCTGTTTCTGATTTCCTTCCTCACTGGCATCAGAGTATTTCACTATAGGAAAACTAATATCTAACTGAGCTCCAAGTGCTAAATAACAGCATCTCATGTTCATTCCGGGTCACCAAGAGGTTCAGGGTGACCAAGTCACAAACTATAAATTTGAACATTTGATGATTTTTGCAGGAGACTGGGTGAACAAAGGAAAACCCGAGAGATACATAAAGGTGGAAACTAGGATTTCTCATTTGAATTATTTAACATGCCTCACTCTAATGGTTATAAATGTAAAGGAAATGCAGGTTCTTCAAGAAGGTGAAACGAAGTTACTGAATTTAAGTTTTTTTTTTTTTAAACCTACTTTAGAATAGGAAACATGCTTACTAATATTTACAAGGCACTACAAGGCACCAGCCAAAAAGCCTGATTTATTGGCAGGATATTCTTGTTGTTGTTGTTTCTATTGTCCATATAGGCAGGCAATTAATACTTTTTAGAAAATTAAGTTGCCAACTCAACACTGCCTACTTTTGAATTTTTATTCTAGCAACAGCCGATAATTTATTGGAAATTCCTTATGTGCTGGGCACTACGCTAGACATTGGGAGTACGAAAATTAATATGGTAAAGATCCTGGCTTTAAAGAGTCTTTAACATTATTTCAGCAGTTTTATTACAGGTGTATATGTTGGAATTGACAGAACACTTAGCTCAAAGCAAGGGTTCAAGCATGACTTTGCAGAGTAGATTTCAGCTGAGCTTAAAGGATGTGAGAATAAGTATACACATTTTTTAAATTACCCAGAATGTAGTGCCTACAGAAGTGCTTGAGCCTCAGTTGCTTCTAAGAGTCCAACTTCAGAACTTGTATCTTCTAGATTGAGCTCATTGCTTAATTTCTAGCCAACATAGCCCATCTCTCTCAGCTGAATACTAAGCTCATCAACTTCTCCTTTGATCTAGGTCTTGATTAGAATGTTGAACATGACAAGGCTGAAGGCAGAAACCATAGAAACTTCTATCCAGAGTTACACTCGTCTCTTAATAGCTGCCTACTGTTGCAATCAGAATAAACTCACTTCTTGCCCAATTATGACAGTTCATTCACCTTCTACTCAAGGGAGACTTTAAGAATTGTTGAAGTTGAACTTCTCAGGTTCTTATACTTAGTGACACTGTTCATGCAATGGCTCAGTATTTCTTGATTTCTCAGAACCAGCAAAAGTCACAAACTGAATCCTCAAATTGGAATTCGTAAGTGACTAACTTGTAGCATAACTTTATTATACTAGGAAAGATGGGGCAAGGGACAGAAAAAATATCTGTAACATCTTATATGTTCAAATATAAGCGCTTTATGTATATTTAGTCATTCAAACTCCAAATACACATTAAGAAGTAGTCATCAATATTCCACTCTCTAATTCTACAATTTCTACCTTTTTAGATTCCACATATAAGTGAGATCATATGGTATTTGTCGCTCTGTGCCTGACTTATCTTACTTAACATAATGTCCTTAGGTTCATCCCTGTTTGAAAATGGCAGAATTGCCTGTTTTTTTTTTTAAGGCTAAATAGTATCCTATTTTGTATATTCAGCACATTTTAAAAAATCTGTTCATCAGCTGACGGACACTTAGGTTGATTCCTTATCTTGGCTCTTGTGAATAATGCTGCAATGAACACAGGAGCTCAAACATCCCTTTGAAATACTGATTTAAATATCTTTGGGTATAAACCCGGAATTGGCTGTGGGGAGTTAGACAGGGAAAATGTCCACATTGCTCTACGGATACAAAGTTTCAGTTAGGAGGAATAATTCTGGTGTTCTATTGCACAGCACAGTGTCTATAGTTAATAGTAATGTATTATATATTTCAAAATAGCTAAACAAAGAGAATTTTAATGTTCTTACCGCAACGAAATAATTGTTTCAGAAAATAAATATGCTAATTAGCCTGATTTGCTCATTCCACAGTGTATATACATGTATCAAAAAGTCACATTGTACCCCATAAATATACAAAATTATTTGTCAATTACAATAAAACTTTTTTTTAAAAAGTAATTATCAAGGTCTCCATTTGACTGATAAAACTTAGATTAAATCTGAGCTAGAACTCAGCGAATATTGCACCAAATGTTCTTCCCATTATGCTCCTCCCTCTTCCTCGCTAAGATTGCGCCCCTTCTCCTCCCTAACTCGCCACAAGTTCCCATCACCCTTCACTAGTTTTCAAACCAAGGAAAACATCATTCAATGAATGATAATACTTGACCAAGAACTTTTAAAGAGTTTTGAGTTAAAGAAAATGTGACTTGGGTTAAAGTCACATTTTAAACTTGTGATTTGTGTTAAAGAAAATGAAACCCCTAAATGACTTTTCTTAAATAGGCATTCAAAAAAAATTGACCTTTTAATCACTTAATCCTCACATATCTATATGCTATGGACTGAATTGTGCTCCCCAAAATTCATATTTGAAGCCCTAACCACTTCCCCACAATGTAACTGTATTTGGAGATAGGGCTTTTATTTAGAGATGGAACATTGAACCTAATTAAGGTTAAATGAGGTCATTGTCATTAGGGTGAGACCCTAATCCAATAGGACTCGTGGGTTTATTAAAAGAAGGGACTGATTCTCTCTCTCTCTCTGCCTCTCTCTGTCAGGTAAGGACACAGTAAAAGGAAGTAATCTGGGAGCCAGTAAGAGGGCCCTCCCTAGAATCTGATCATGCTGGAATCCTGATGTTGGACTTCCAGCCTCCAGAACAATGAGAAATAGATTTATGTCATTTAAGCTACTCAGTATTTTGTTAAGGCAACTTCAGCAGACTAATACACTATATAATCTATGGACCCCCTCCAGGAATGCCATTTGGACCATTTTACAAGAAGAGTATGTGAGATTCAAAGGGGTCATTAGGACATACGATGAGGAAAGTTGGTTATTCCAGGGTTTTACTTACTAAATTCCAGTACATAATTCGAACCACTGTGGTACACAGTACATTTTCCCACAGGAATGCCATAGCCTGCTATTCCAACAGGATCAGGGAATCAAAAGTGAGCAAATTCAGGCGGTGCAACTGTACTATATTGGACAGATGGACAGATGGGCATGACTCTGCGGTTAGCGGGAGGAGCACCATCTGTTGCGGACACACAAGTGCTTCTTGCTCTCCTTGGGAAAACTCACAGATGTTTCCATAACAGGTGTGTTTGCTTCCCCCATGTAGCTTTCCCAGACACGTCACACACAGCACTTTCACTGAGTTACCCTTTCTACTCAGGCAAAGGAAGTAGAGAAATGAGACCTCTGCCTTGATAATTTAGAGAGAAAAAAGATGCGACTTGGTTGCTTCTGAGGTGCCTGAATGTACTTTTGGCAGAGAGTGGGGAAATAGAAAAAATACCAAATACTGAAGAAAGCATATTTCTTAAACCGTGAATAATTGTTGAATTCTTTATTTTTATAAGTTCCAAGGGACATGTGCAGGATGTGCAAGTTTGTTACACGGGTAAACGTGTGCCACGGTGCTTCGCATCTATCAACCTCTCACCTAGGTATCAAGCCCTGCATGCATTAGCTATTTATCCCAATGCTGTCCCTCTTTCCCTCCTCTGTGTGTGGTTCTTGAGTAATAGAATCAGGACAGGATAATGTGCATTATGCTTCCTGAACAATCGATTAGTAGGCTGAGGCTTGAAAGGTAAGGCAATATGATGCCAATGAGCTTATTATTATATTCAATAAGTTGAGTTATTGAGCATTTAATTATTAAAAATGAATTATTAAACACACAATGAACTCAAATGTAACTACTAAATTCACAATCTTAGATTGTCTTTAACCTATTGTCCCCACGCATTCTACCAAAAATTTTTAGTATCTAACTTTTTCATGAATCCAGTGAAAAATACTGACAAAATTGAACTTTAAGGCATACCATTTTTTTCTGGTATATAACTGATCTGTGGTTAATGAGAAAATTTGGAGATGTCTGTCTTTCAATCGTCGTGTATAAGAATATAATCTTCCACAAACCCTGAATTTAAAATACTCTGCGTGTCCAGAACTCTTTTCTAGAGAGTAGCATAGAATGGTGGAAAGTCATACGTAACCCTAAAAGGAAAACCTCCATGTAATTACCTCTAAGTATAAAATTGCATAAAAAGAGAACCAGTCTACCAAGTGTAATTAAAAGCAGTTCAAATTTTAATTATTTTTCACAAGTAATGACAAACACAGAGATATATACCCTTACTGCAAAAAAAAAAAAGGTGCCTTGAGGTTATATTTCCAATTATTGCACTGGTATTCCACCTATGAATTTATCTATTACTCTATCATGTGACCCCAAAATCTCACCTTCCACAGATGTAGCAATTTTTCATTTTTAAAATAATTTATAATAATGTTCTAAGATGAGGATTATCTGTGTAATTGTGTAATCATCTATCTAGCTGCCCAGAGAATTTTCTGTTCAAGAACATGCACCTCCTTTCCTAAATAAATAAAACTTATTCGAAGATCCTGATACCGAAGCCTAGCAGAGACACAACCAAAAAAGAGAATTTTAGACCAGTATCCTTGATGAACATTGATGCAAAAATCCTCAATAAAATACTGGCAAACCCAATCCAGCAGCACATCAAAAAGCTTATCCATCATGATCAAGTGGGCTTCATCCCTGGGATGCAAGGCTGCTTCAATATATGCAAATCAATAAATGTAATCCAGCATATAAACAGAACCAAAGACAAAAACCACATGATTATCTCAATAGATGCAGAAAAGGCCTTTGACAAAATTCAACAACGCTTCATGCTAAAAACTCTCGATAAATTAGGTATTGATGGGACGTATCTCAAAATAATAAGAGCTATCTATGACAAACCCACAGCCAATATCATACTGAATGGGCAAAAACTGGAAGCATTCCCTTTGAAAACTGGCACACGACAGGGATGCCCTCTCTCACCACTCCTATTCAGCATAGTGTTGGAAGTTCTGGCCCGGGCAATCAGGCAGGAGAAGGAAATAAAGGGTATTCAATTAGGAAAAGAGGAAGTCAAATTGTCCCTATTTGCAGATGACATGATTGTATATCTAGAAAACCCCATTGTCTCAGCCCAAAATCTCCTTAAGCTGATAAGCAACTTCAGCAAAGTCTCAGGATACAAAATAAATGTACAACAATCACAAGCATTCTTATACACCAATAACAGACAAACACAGAGCAAAATCATGAGTGAACTCCCATTCACAATTGCTTCAAAGAGAATAAAATACCTAGGAATCCAACTTACAAGGGACGTAAAGGACCTCTTCAAGGAGAACTACAAACCACTGCTCAAGGAAATAAAAGAGGATACAAACAAATGGAAGAACATTCCATGCTCATGGGTAGGAAGAATCAATATCGTGAAAATGGCCATACTGCCCAACGTAATTTATAGATTCAATGCCATCCCCATCAAGCTACCAATGACTTTCTTCACAGAATTGGAAAAATCTACTTTAAAGTTCTTATGGAACCAAAAAAGAGCCTGCATCGCCAAGTCAATCCTAAGCCAAAAGAACAAAGCTGGAGGCATCACGCTACCTGACTTCAAACTATACTACAAGGCTACAGTAACCAAAACAGCCTGGTACTGGTACCAAAACAGATATATAGATCAATGGAACAGAACAGAGCCCTCAGAAATAACGCCGCATATCTACAAATATCTGATCTTTGATAAACCTGAGAAAAACAAGCAATGGGGAAAGGATTCCCTATTTAAATAAATGGTGCTGGGAAAACTGGCTAGCCATATGTAGAAAGCTGAAACTGGATCCCTTCCTTACACTTTATACAAAAATTAATTCAAGATGGATTAAAGACTTAAATGTTAGACCTCAAACCATAAAAACCCTAGAAGAAAACCTAGGCATTACCATTCAGGACATAGGCATGGGCAAGGACTTCATGTCTAAAACACTAAAAGCAATGGCAAACAAAAGCCAAAATTGACAAATGGGATCTAATTAAACTAAAGAGCTTCTGCACAGCAAAAGAAACTACCATCACAGTGAATAGGCAACCTACAAAATGGGAGAAAATTTTCGCAACCTACTCATCTGACAAAGGGCTAATATCCAGAATCGACAATGAACTCAAACAAATTTACAAGAAAAAAACAAACAACCCCATCAAAAAGTGTGTGAAGGACATGAACAGACACTTCTCAAAAGAAGACATTTATTCACCCAAAAAACACATGAAAAAATGCTCATCATCACTGGCCATCAGAGAAATGCAAATCAAAACCACAATGAGATACCATCTCACACCAGTTAGAATGGCGATCATTAAAAAGTCAGGAAACAACAGGTGTTGGAGAGGATGTGGAGAAATAGGAACACTTTTACACTGTTGGTGGGACTGTAAACTAGTTCAACCATTGTGGAAGTCAGTGTGGCGATTCCTCAGGGATCTAGAACTAGAAATACCATTTGACCCAGCCATCCCATTACCGGGTGTATACCCAAAGGATTATAAATCATGCTGCTATAAAGACACATGCACATGTATGTTTATTGCGGCACTATTCACAATAGCAAAGATTTGGAACCAACCGAAATGTCCAACAATGATAAACTGGATTAAGAAAATGTGGCACATATACACCATGGAATACTATGCAGCCATAAAAAATGATGAGTTCATGTCCTTTGTAGAGACATGGATGAAATTGGAAATCATCATTCTCAGTAAACTATCACAAGAACAAAACACCAAACACTGCATATTCTCACTCACAGGTGGGAATTGAACAATGAGAACACATGGACACAGGAAGGGGAACATCACACTCTGGGGACTGTTGTGGGGTGGTGGGAGGGGGGAGGGATAGCATTGGGAGATATACCTAATGCTAGATGACGAGTTGGTGGGTGCAGCGCACCAGTATGGCACATGTATACATATGTAACTAACCTGCACATTGTGCACATGTACCCTAAAACTTAAAGTATAATAAAATAAAATAAAATAAAATAAAATAAAATAAAATAAAATAAAATAAAACAAAATAAAAAAAGATCTCTCCTCTACATAGAATGAGTTGACATTTCCTCTTTACAAACTTGCTAAAAGTAGCACCCCAGGCACTTGTCACTTAAATGAGATAGGTATTTAACCAAGACGATAAAATATTAAAACTGAAAAATTGTATGTGTCAGCCACATATAAGATCCTGGGGGCAACTCACAGACTATTGGGTCCCCTCAGGATCTATGGCTCCTAACCTGGTGGGCCCTACTAGTTTCTGGAAGGTGGAGGAGAGCTGTCCTTAGAATTCTGGAGAACTTATCACTATCTACACCTACCTTGTTTATCTGTTTGTTCATATGTATATTGCCTGCCTCATCCACCACTAGATTGTAAACTTGAAAGTAGGGACATGTTGTCTTTTCAGCCTTGTAGTTATAGCTCCCAGAACAGTGATTGGAAAAGAGTAGATATTATAAAAGTGTTCTGAATAATTAAATGAATGAATAAATGAATCCATGCTGCTTAAAATATACCCTTCCCCTTTGTTCCACCTTCCTGTGTGGACAGGTGCAGGGATCCCTCCAATGACAAACAACTGAGCAAAGAGTTATGGAATCAGACATCAAAAACAAACATAAAAGAATGACATATCTTCCAAGGAACAGGATTCTTGAGAAACATGTCTCTCCTATCCAAAGGGTGCAATTAGGAAATTTCCATGATTATGAAAAGAAATTTACTGGCCATTCTTTAAACTCAAAATGGCTAATGCCTGGTGTGTGCATGTGTGCGTGCCTGTGTGTGTGTGTGTGTTTATGGGAAGCAGTTGGGGAAAAGCATTTAAATTGGCTCTTAGAGATGCTTTTTGTGACAAGAATGTAAGATAATTATAAACCAAATTTTTCCCCATAATAAATGAGTTATAGTCAATAGTAGACAAGCAAATACCTATTGACTAGGAATTATATGCTGAATAATGTATTCAGCTGCTAAGGCTATTGTTATAAAATATCACACACTGGGTAGCTTAAACAACTTAAATTTATTTTTTCACAGTTCTGGATGCTAGAAGTCCAAGATCAAGGTACTGGAAAATTTGGTGTCTATATTGAGGCTGACAGACACCTGCCTCCTCTCTGTGTCCTCACATGAACTTTTCTCTTTGTATGCAGAGACAGAGAGAGAGAGAGAGAGAGAGAGAAGGAGAGGAGAGAAGAAGGGGGAGGGGAGAGAGAGAGAGACAGTTTACTGGTGCCCCTTCCTCTTCTTATAAAGACATCATTCCTATCATATTAAGCCCTACTCTTATAACCTCATTTAACCTTAATCACCTTCTTAAAGCTGCTGTCTGTATATACAGTCACAATGGGGGTTAGGGTCCCAAATATGAATGGGAGAGGGCACAATCCAGTTCACAATAGATGATAAAGGAGAGAATATAAATGAGACACTGATTTTCTCAAAAATGTTTCAATCTAGAGGTGGGTTGGGGAGTGGAAACCAATGCTGCCCTTGCAGAACTTTAACACCTGACCTGATAGGAGTTCCAAGAGAGATGTGAAAAACAATTGCCCTGAGACTGCCAAAGGAAAACTAATGAATTTGATTTAAAATTATTGAGAAAGGCTATGTAAAGGAAATATTAGAAAATCCCACAAATATGAGACTCCATAATAGCTTTCTTCTGAGGCAGATTTCAAAAATAGCAATCTGGAAGAATTTAACAATAGGGGAATGGAATGAAACCTCTGAAAGAAAACAAGATAAGATCTATGAAAAACAAAGCTTTAAAATACTAGAAAAAAATCCCTCTTTGAGAGAACTCAATAATTGGATATATGTGAAGGTAGCTGCTTTCTGATTTATTATAAATGTCTGGTTCACAGACCGCAGCAGCAAGGTCTTATCCACAAAGAAATAAGTCTAAACAAAAATTGACAGTATGTATCTCAAAATAATAAGAGCTATTTACGACAAACCCACAGCGAATATCACACTGAATGGGCAAAAACTGGAAGCATTCCCATGGAAAACCAGCACAAGACAAGGATACCCTCTCTCACCACTCCTATTCAACAGAGTGTTGGAAGTTCTGGCCAGGATAATCAGGCAAGAGAAAGAAATAAAGGGTATTCAGTTAGGAAAAGAGGAAGTCAAATTGTGCCTGTTTGCAAATGACATGATTATACATTTGGAAAACCCCATCGTCTCAGTCCAAAATCTCCTTAAGCTGATAAGCAACTTCAGCAAAGTCTCAGGATACAAAATCAATGTGCAAAAATCACAAGCATTCTTATACACCAATAACAGACAGAGAGCCAAATCATGAGTGAACTCCCACTCACAACTGCTACAAAGAGAATAAAATACCTAGGAATCCAAGTTACAAGGGATGTGAAGGACATCTTCAAGGAGAACTACAAACCACTGCTCAACGAAATAAAAGAGGACACAAACAAATGGAAGAACATTCCATGCTCTTGGATAGAAAGAATCAATGTTGTGAAAATGGCCATACTGCCCAAGGTAATTCATAGATTCAGTGCCATCCCCATCAAGCTAGCAATGACTTTCTTCACAGAATTAGAAGAAACTACTTTAAAGTTCATATGGAACCAATAAACAGCCTGCATTGCCAAGACAATCCTAAGCAAAAATAACAAAGCTGGAGGCTTCATGTTACCTGACTTCAAACTATACTACAAGGATACAGTAACCAAAACAAACAGCATGGTACTGGTACCAAAACAGATATATAGACCAATGGAACAGAACAGAGGCCTCAGAAATAACACCACACAACTACAACCATGTGATCTTTGACAAACCTCCCAAAAACAAGCAATAGGGAAAGGATTCCCTATTTAATAAATGATGCTGGGAAAACTGGCTAGCCATATGTAGAAAGCTGAAACTGCATCCCTTCCTTATACCTTATACAAAAATTAATTCAAGATGGATTAAAGACTTAAATGTTAGACCTAAAACCATAAAAACCTTAGAAGACAACCTAGGCAATACCATTCAGGACATAGGCATGGGCAAGGACTTCATGTCTAAAACACCAAAAGCAATGCAACAAAAGCCAAAATTGACAAATGGGATCTAATTAAACTAAAGACCTTCTGCACGGCAAAAGAAACTATCATCAGAATGAACAGGCAACCTACAGAATGGGAGAACATTTTTGCAAACTACCCATCTGACAAAGGGCTAATATCCAGAATCTACAAAGAACTTAAACAGATTTACAACCCCATCAAAAAGTGGGCAAAGGATATGACAGACATTTCTCAAAAGAAGACATTTATGCAGCCAACAGACACATGAAAAAATGCTCATCATCACTGTCATCAGAGAAATGCAAATCAAAACCACAATGAGATACCATCTCGTGCCAGTTAGAATGGCGATCATTAGTCAGGAAACCACAGATGCTGGAGAGGATGTGGAGAAATAGGAACGCTTTTACACTGTTGGTGGGAGTGTAAATCAGTTCAACCATTGTGGAAGACAGTGTGGTGATTTCTCAAGGATCCAGAACTAGAAATACCATTTGACCCAGCCATCCCATTACTGGGTATATACCTAAAGGATTTTAAATCATGCTGCTATAAAGACACATGCACACGTATGTTTACTGCAGCAGTATTCACAATAGCAAAGAAATGGAACCAACCCAAATACCCATCAATGACAGAATGGATTAAGAAAATGTGGCACATATACACCATGGAATACTATGCAGCCATAAAAAAGGATGAGTTGGTGTCCTTTGCAGGGACATAGATGAAGCTGGAAACCATCATTCTTGGCAAACTATCACAAGGACAGAAAACCACACACCTCATGTTCTCACTCATTGGTGGGAATTTAAAAAATGAGAACACTTGGACACAGGGCGGGGAACATCACACACTGGGACCTGTCGGGAGTTGGGGGACTTGGGGAGGGATAGCATCAGGACAAATACCTAATGTAAATGACAAGTTGATGGGTGCAGCAAACCAACATGGCACATGTATACCTATGTAACAAACCTGAACGTTGTGCACATGTACCCTAGAATTTAAGTATATATATATATGTATATATACATATATACATATATACACACACACACATACACACACATGTGTGTGTATATATATACATATGTGTGTGTGTATATATACATATATGTATGTGTATATATATACATATATAATTGACAAAATATCTACATATCTATGTCTATACTCACATATTTACCAACGTGCAAGCATTTTAGAAGTCCCTTGATTCTAATTTATTAATCTGAACAAGTGGACATTTTTTAATAGGTGAATAACTTCTACTGATAAAACCACATTCATCTATGATTAAAGAACAAAAAGCCCCTTTTCCTAGTTTATGTTTTCTTATGTGGAGGGATATAAACTCCTGTTAATAATGTGCTGCTACAGAGAGCCTTCTTTCTAGGATATCTAAGACCTGGGATTTCTCTAATCATGGGTGTTCCTACCTAGGCTTGACCTGCATTTAGGGAAACAAACTGGCAGTTTTATGTTAACAAATATAATGTCAATCTGTCTGTCTTCAAATATATTTTTAGCTAATCAGCAGGACTTCCGCAGGACATATCACTTTCAAAAGAATGGCCTGCATCTGATTCCAATTTGAAATCTTGTATTTTCCTGTGAAATCACTCCAGCAGTATCCTTCAAAGCCCATTTCCTACCATGTTGCCATTCCCTGTTTGCCTGTGACCCCTCTACTAGACTGCAACCTCTTCGATGACAGCCCTTGCCTTGTCCACTGCCATATCCCTGGCACCTCGCATAGGCAGTCTCCCCTTGAAGGTTTTCAGCCTAGGTCATGAGTGTTCCTAACAGCCATTTTCCAAAGTTATTCATGCTTTTGTCTGGAAAACTTTCCAGTCTAGCACCTGGACTGGAAACCTTCACATAAAAAGTATGTTCTTATGCAAAAAAAAAGCAAGTTGATTATAATATTTTAAATTGAATGCATCTGTTAACTAAATGGTAACAATAGACAAATAGACAACTGAATGCATCTCTTATAATTTGGTATGGCTTAGCAACTAAAGCTTCTGCCAATGAAACGTACGCATAACAGTGAATGCAACTTCCAAGAAGTTCCTTAAAAAGAGGAGTTGCTTTACCAACCCACCTGCCTCCTTCCAGCTAGCTGGAATGTGGATCTGATGGCTGGAGTTCCTGTAGCCATTTTGGATGATGAAGTTCTTTGAGTAAGAAAGCCATGTCCAGTGAAACAACAAGACAGAAGAACCCTGGATCCCTGATGCAAAGAATCACTGACTACCTTTCCCACCTCCAATTCAGACTCCTTTCATGTGAGAAAAGAACTGCTCTCTTGTGTAAATGGCATTATTTTGCTTTATTTTGACAATCATGGCCAAATCTAATCCGTAATCTTAGCGTCTGAGAGAGCAGTTTATCAGTCCAGCATCTCTCAGGAGATATTAGATAATTTATAATGGTTTCATAAGGGCCTTTGGGGAGGAATTTATTTTAGTGCTATGCAAAATGTCATTCATGGACCAGTGACAATCCACAAGCTATTTGTTGTGGGTCTGTGACAAGATAATTATGAAATTTGACAGTAAGCGTTTAGATGCTTTTATAGCAATTTCACACTTATCGCTGAAACAGCGTGAGTTGTCACCCTTTCCTAGTGAGTCACATGTAATGCAAGCTGCCTACTAGTCATGTACAATAGGATTGCATGAAGTGTGACTTTTAAGGATACTTTTGTCAGCTGTTACCCAAAAGTGTTTAAAAATCAGAAAAAGTATAAATGTATATGAGATATGTAACTTTTTGCTTACACTAATTTTAATTTTAATCAAGTCTGTCTGAAATCTACTTTTATTGTCATTAGCTATATTAGAGAACTGAAATTCATATTATTAATGGTAATCCCAACTTACAGATAGAAAACAAGCTTCACTAAACTATTTTGTTAAGAAAAGACCGGCCTATACTGATTGTTCTTGTTAATTAAACGATAACAATAGACAAGATTCTAAAAAAATGGAAACTATGAAGCTGTACTAGTTTTACTTAGGTACTAAAAGCCCCACAAAGAACTCACTCTAGGCTGAATCCCTTCAAGCTATAAGGGTGTCCAGTCAATCCCAGCATAGCGTAGCAATGTTATCATTATCTAGTGGTGCTTCCATTTAAAGAAATGTTTCATTCACTGGAGGGATGGGGAGGTCTGGGGTGGTGGGTGGGGGTATGATTTGCATTCATTGTGGGGCTCTTAGTACCTAAGAAGTATGATCTTTCATGCACTGAATGCAGTTTTGTAGCCATATTTGGTACTTACGTGCTAAAATAACAGTGTGTTATTTGAAGAGATGCATTTACTAATGAATCAATGAAAACATTAAAACCTAAGGCATGTTGACCTCCAAATTATAAAAGTAATTCAAAACCAAAAGAATCATTTAGAAAATAAAGAGTATTGCATTAAAACGCCACCAGAAACAAATGTGCTTAGTGGGCTTCCTACAAAAGAACACTTTGAATTGCTAAATCTAAAGACCCACATACATTTGTTGAAATATTAATAAAGGACTGAATCAAAGATGCTGGATTGGAAACACTAAAAGAATCTCACGAGGCAAGGTAGCACAACTGCCATTTTCCAGTGACACCATAGCACAATGTTATGCAGGCCAATAATAACAAGCAAATAGTTTTTAAAAATACAGCTAACAATGTAATTTTCATGGCAACTAGACAGGTGCATAAGTATTGCTAAAATGTCAATCCCTTTAACATATGTGCAAACTGAACATGACAGTAACATAAAGAATTTGTTTTCTAAGTTTCATTTCCAACAACACAACCAGGTCTAAATTACATAGAACCATGATGGAATAATCAACGAATGTGACCTAGAGTTTAAATTTTGGGATTATGTTCAGATGGCATAGCTACAATAGCAGAAAAGCATTCTGGAATTGCTACACCACAATATAAATCAATGAATTGCTTCCTTATCAAGAAAGTCTTGTTACAAAACAAAAATGTTAGCAGGACTAAAAGGTGTATTTAGTGCAATTGTAAATTACCTACAAGCTAATGCACTAAATTTGATATTACTCTTTTTATTTGTAATGATATGGAAGCTGCTTATACACAACTACTGGGATATGAGTTATCAAGGAGAAAGGTTTTATCAGTAATATATGAACTATTCAACAACCCTATTGTGTTCCAGACAAGATAAGAAACAAGCCCCAACATTCCAAAGATATGAATTAGACAGTCTGTCATGCTTATTTCTTTGGTAACGTTGATCTTTTTTAAAGATCTTAATACTTCCATGCAAATAAAGAATGTGACATGTTTTCAATGGCAGATAAGATTAAAGTGCAAAAAGCTAGAAGCCTGGACAAACAGAGTTTCTAAAGAGTGCTGAAAGTCCCGTAAGTTAATAATAAATAATAATGAAGTAGGTGATGATCTTGAAATTATATACCTGCCAGGATATTTCCCTATACCTTAGAAATTTTGTAAACAGTTTTAAATTTAACTTTCCATTATAAGAATATTTTACATCTGCCAGGATATTGCCCTATATCTTAGAAATTCTGTAGAAAGTTTTAAATGCAACTTTCCATCATAAGAATATTTTACATCTGCCAGGATATTGCCCTATACCTTAGAAATTTTGTAGAAAGTTTTAAATTTAACTTTTCATCATAAGAATATTTTACAAATAGGAAATTCATAAATCCAAAATCCCTTTCTTTCATTAAAAGTAAAGTTAATTTTAACTTTAAAGGATAAATTGTTCAAATATGCTACTGGTGAAGGATCAAAGGTGAGTTTTGCAAATACTGAATCACTTGCTTCATTTCTACAAAAAGTTAAAAATGAATATCCTGAGTTTACTGAAGTTACTTTGGTATTTATTCTCTTTCATATCAAGGTAACTCTGTGAGACTGTACTCAAGCTACTCTAAATGTTACTGAACGAAACAGAAACAGGAAATGAGTGGTGTCATTGCCACTCCAGCTATGCTACAACAACCGACAAGCGAGAAGCATGCTTATACATTGCATTGGTTCAACCATTGTGGTAGACAGTGTGGCGATTCCTCGAAGATCTAGAACTAGAAATACCATTTGACCCAACCATCCCATTACTGGGTATATACCCAAAGGATTATAAATCATACTGCTATAAAGACACATGCACACGTATGTTTATTGCGCCACTATTCACAATAGCAAAGACTTGGAACCAACCCAAATGTCCATCAGTGATAGACTGGATTAAGAAAATGTGGCACATATACACCATGGAATACTATGCAGTCATAAAAAATGATGAGTTCACGTGCTTTGTAGGGACATGGATGAAGCTGGAAACCATCATTCTCAGCAAACTATCGCAAGGACAAAAAACCAAACGCCGCATGTTCTCACTCATAGGTGGGAAATGAACAACGAGAACACCTGGACACAGGAAGGGGAACATGACACACCGGGGCCTGTCACTGGGTGAGGGGAAGGGGGAGGGATAGCATTAGGAGATATACCTAATGCCAATGACGAGTTAATGGGTACAGCACACCAACATGGCACATGTATACATAGGTAACAAACCTGCACATTGTGCACATGTACCCTAGAACTTAAAGTATAATTTTAAAAAAAGAACCTTAAATATTGATATACATTGTGTTCATTAAAAGTATGTCTATGGGTATTTAACATGATATATTCCTATTTTACTCATAGTTTCCTTAGTTTATAATTGCAGAGAGAAAAAGGGCTATTAGTACGAAAGTGATCCTCTATAGTTACATTATATTTGTATACATCAAATGCACCATGTTTTTAAATATTTTCTTTTTCCTATGCTTATTCTGATCATGTTTGTTAAAATGAATTTTGTGTCTATAAAATCTAATAATAAAATCTGCCTTCTATGTCATATGTCTTCTATCCCTTTTTTGTAGGAATTAGTGCATATTGCATTTTACAAAAGCACAGATCTGGGATGGATTGGAAAGCAACTAACAAACTGCTCCTTCTCCACAGATGATCTGAGAAGCACATACATTATTTATCTGCCTTTAGATCATTTCTAAGCTATCCTAAAATCAGGATTCTACTTTTCCCAAATTACCCCTGCCCCACCCTACCTTGACTCCTTGCCTACCTGAGGAACATCATCCATCAAATCAAGATGAAGTAAATGCAGGCTGTTCTTGTGACTCTTCAAGGTCAAAGAGCCAAATGCTCACAGAGGCTGGGCTGGGAGAGCACATGGGTGCAGGAACAAGCAGCGTGCAGGGGTACCTCTGTTTCAGATCAACTGGCCCAAGCAGGAGCATGGCCTGGGTTGCCAGATCCCTCACAGTTTTTCAAGAGAAACCAGAAACCCAGATTTTTACAGGGAACTACAGTCATTTAAAAATGTGAAGAAGTAATTCAGATTTTTACAAGCCACAAGGCCAGCTAAAGAAAATGCCTGTGTGGGCTAAAATTGGCCCAGGAATCCCACCTGGGGACTGCTGGGGCTCCACATGCTACTGATAGAAAAAGTGAGATCAGCAAATGCAAAGGATTTCTTTCAAGCACAGCCTGCAGGTGGATTTTGGCAGTTTCCTATCAGCGTTTTTCCATCTATGGAAAACAGCTGCTGGTGTGAGCCAATGCTTCAGGAGCACTCCTCCTGCCTCTGTCTAGCCTGAGGCAACCCCACAATCAGTCTCAGATACCAACATGAGCATGAAACATACTCCACAAAGGAGCTGTTCAACAAGGGGTCCCATGATTTCAGGGCCACTAGTCCAGAAAAGGATATTCAGTCACGGTGCAAAAGAAGAGGGTATATGAGGACCTCTTTGAAGGGAGCTGAGAGTGAGTATCCTGATCCCACCAGCAGGAAGGAGGTGAGGTGCCACCCTTTCCTTCAATCCTAGTTGGGAGAGGGATTTCCCATGGGAAACATTAGAAAATTTCATATATGTTTCTTCCGCTGGGGGCTGTGGAGGACTGGTGCTTGGTTCACACATGAGACAGCTGAGCTGCCTGATAGATTTGGCCATGCTGAGATTAGCCTGTACTCCCAGTTGGGCAGGGCAAGGGATGCACCAGTGTTTCCTGCTAGTGTGCCCATCATCATTCTCAGAAACAGGAGGAGACCAATGTACATTCATTGTCCAGGAGGAGCATGTGACTTTGCCGCCTGATGTTTACGAAAGAGTTTACAGTGCTGTATAAGTGCTGAATGGCATTGTTCTTCCACAGGGCTTTCATGGACAAAATGAAAGATAAGAATTCCCTCTCTGCCTTCGAGGGCCCTTCCCAGCCCCTTCTTCTTTTGTCTGTCTCATCCACAAACTAAAAAGTATCTGCCCTGAGATCCTGAGATGGCCTTTCCCTTTAAGCCTCATTATTATTCACCTTCTATGGAAAGAACTCACTTTAGGCTGAATCCCCTACAAGCTATGAGAGTGTCCAGTCAAACCCAGCACAGTGTAGCATTGATATCATTATCTAGTGGTGGTTTCATTTAAAGAAATGTTTCATTCACTGGAGAGATGGGGAGGTCTGGGGTGGTGGGTGGGGGTATGATTTGCATTCACTGTGGGGCTCTTAGTACCTAAAACAAGTGGCTTGTGTTTCTGTGCTGGACTCTGCTTTTTCTCCCCACCCCACCCAGTAGCTCCCAATTCTCTATCCACAAGATCTTTAAAACCCAATGCAAGTCAAACAATAGAACCCTCAATTTAGAAACTGTAACTCTGGATTCAGGGAGCTAAGCCAACATTCAAACCCTCCCTGACTTTTCACAGCACTTACTGCTTCTGTCATGGGTTTGGCACTTGATTATATTCAATTTAGCACATAATTATATCCCTACTCTCTCATGTTTTTCTTTCATTGCTTGTAAGTGTTCAGTTTATTTGTCCCAATCATACAGTAAGCCCCTGGACAGCAGAGACCACTTTTCACCCTTCACCAGAGATCCATATACTTAGCAGTGTTGGGCCCAGAGCAGATAGGCAATAAACACCAGCTGAGCTGAACAGAGTGGAACAAGCCACCAGCTCCACCTTCCAACTTGCCATTGATGGGGAGAAAAGGCAAAACCACCTGAGCATTCAGCTTGCCGCTGCCTTTCCCTGCTGGAAAGTCATAAGCTTCTTCCCCGGGCTTCTTATGGGAAAGGCATGATCTTCTTGAGACTTCAGCGTAGGCACATCCTCGGGGAGCACTTTCTAATGGGAAGTGTGAGTCTGGGTGGATAGTGCCCATGACTCATTGTAAAGTCTATGTGGGAGCCTGGGCGGCTATAGTCTCATATGAAAAGTATTTCTGCTCTATCCTGCTCCTTCCCACGCTCAACCTTCCTGAGCCACCCTGTTGCCATAAGCATCTGTACAGTGCCGCAAGCCTCACTACTAAGTGTCATCCTTGGACCATCAGCATCACCAGAGGGCCTATTAGAAAGGCAGGATGTTGGGTGACATCTCAGTCCTAATGAGTTAAGACCTTTTTAACAAGACCTCCAGGTGTGTCCTATGCATGGTAAAATTTGAGAAGCCCTTCCCTGAAGAGGACCTTGTCAGGCATTCTCCCTGAGGAGACAGGTTTTTTGAGCTGTCTCCAGAATAATCTGGAGAGCTGTCCTGGATATAAATGATGCTTTCTTCCTCGGGGGGAGGAGAAGCTCCACAAAGGAGCAACAACACAAATTGTCTCCAACCCACAGATAGGCACAGAGCTCAAAAGAAATTAAGTCAAGCCAAATGGCAAGCAAGATGCTGTTAGTATGAGTGGTAATAGATAGCTCCCTATGTCCTGTTCTGTCATTCTGTCTGTTGCTGTACATGCTCCAGGACATCCTGCCCTTAGCAAAACATGCTGGAATGGGTTTACAGTGGGTCCGAGGACATATTCTAGTGAAAGACCAAAGCCTTGCCAGTCCTCTAGGCACAGTCGTTATCTCCCTGGACAAATGTGTACAAGTCACTATAGTGGGTCCACTTTCCCAGCATGAGCTCTGAACCTCAGGTTTGGTCCAAGCTATTGCAGTCTACTACTATGCAGTTAGTTCTTCCCGTCCCTCCACCCAGGCACAGTCTGTTCAGGTTTCAAGGCCCAATTCAAATCCTGCTTCCTCCACAGCATCTTCCTGGTCATTCCAAATACACTGGGGACATCCTCCAAGACACTGGTGTTTAATAATTTCATGGAAATTTTTTCAGCAGGCTATAAATTCCCAGAATGGGGAGACTTATGTCTGACATTATGTTCTATACCTTGTCCACTCCCCTGATTATAGAGACATAATATTCAGTATATGAGTACAAGTCCTTAAACACTCAGTTTGAACTGTCATGAGGATCTAGCAAATCTGTTTTCAGAAAGGACCTGGGGAAGCCCCTCAGCCTGGTGATCTTTCTCCTGCTTCCTGAAAACCCAGCACTCTTCATACCTATCCTATCCTGGCTTGGCTGTAGACTGAGTGGACGGTCTTTCCTCCAGAGGAACTTCTATGAGAGTCCAACAGACAACCAGATTCCAGAATCATATGGAGAAACCAGGTGACTGGGCTAAGAGGGGACCCTCAGTGTGACAATGGCAAGAGATGTTTATCCAGAGGACCAGGCCAAACAATTCCATCTAGTTATCTAGTTTTCTGTGACTCTTGGGTAGTAGTGAGCTATTATATCATGATGGGAATGACAGGAAGAACAGGGAGAAAAATAATATTAATTATAGCAGGCTGAGATTATTCTACATAGCAAACCACAGTTCTGTCCTCTACTGGAAAATTAGCTGTACTTCATGGTTGCCCCAGCTGAGGTGCTGTGGCTAAAAGAAGACTGTCTGAGAAAATGATGAAAGGCACAGTCTGACCTTTGCTCCTTGGAATGTTATTATTGTCCAAATAAACGATGCATATGTTATCAGAGCATCTTTTCTACCAGGTCAGTAGATGTTCTTCCTATGCCTATGCTATTACCCCTAAAGTGGACTAAGGTAGCAATGCATGGACCAGATCTGAGAATACAATTACTGAATACCCTTAAACACTAGTCAACCGAATATTGTAAGCAGAGGTGGAAATGACAACTGTGATTCTTCACTGTCATTACTGGCATGAAGAAGGTCCAGTCTCCTTCTCAGGACCACTGAAGTTCACAGGTCTAGGGAATACTGCTTGTACTGCAGTCTCAGGAATTCTACCCCATGGCATTTCCAGTGTGCAGCCTGCCTGTCATTTGCAGCTGCCCCAATCCTTCTATTTCCAACTGTCATTTATTCTTTCCAATGAATATAGAAACATGCCTGACAAACTTACGCACTATGAGAAAACTTAGAGCAGGGACTGAGTCTTGGAAAAAAGTTAAATGTTTTTCTTTTAAATAGATCTGAATATAATATCTTCCAGGATCACACATCCTAAAATAACTGTGATTCTTTTCTTTAAAAAGCAAACAAACAATATGCCCCTCCAATTAAAAGAAAATTCTAAAATGGAATTGCCAAAATTCTGGATGAGACATTCTTCCCTTTTACCTCTCTCATGCCGGGAAATTCTTTCTGCTTGCTAACCCCCGAATACCATCCGCGATTAGAAATAGAGGAGAACTCCATCGAGCACTGTGTTTCAGGTTCTCAACAAATATCTGGGGCTCTCAGACTGCCTGCCAGGCACCTTGCTAGGCACCAGATCCATAAAACTGGTTCTCACTTCTCTACCCATTTCTCCTTAAAAAGAAAAAAACTCAAAAGTTGGTTTGTGGAGGTTTGGGGTCCAACAACTATTTATGCAAAATATTTGCCGATTTTCACCAGCTTTCTATCCATGGCCTAAAGGAAGCTGAAACAGCTTAGAGGCTGAAGAAATGAACCACAGAGCTTGAAACAGAGGCAATCAAGTCATCTCAAACAGCGGGACTAGGAAATCTAAGTCAAGTCTGAAGAGAAAGGTAGTGAAAGACTTACCATTTTTCTTTTTCTTTTTCAAAAGAAGTCAATGGCCATTCAGTGTTTAAATGAGAACAAAGACTACAGGGGGGAAAAATTAAGGTAAATATTTGTAATAATGTGTCATTGCATTTTACATAATGGGCCAGCAGTCTTTGAAATGTGACGACATCCATATCTACAGTTTTATTTGTTTTTTCTTATTTGCTCTCCTGAGGCAAGTCTCTTTTAGGCTGTCAGCCACCAAAGCAGCTAGCAAATACAAGGACACTGAAAGGCATTCTGCCAACACGACCTCAGAAGTATTTACAGACTGCAATGGAGACCATGATATAATTCAGTTTCTGCATGGCTATACTCTTTGCCAATTAATATTCTAATGTATCCTTTGAGGATGTGGTAAATGTTGGTTTAAGATAAAACAGCAAAGACAAATATTAGTGTGCCACATAAAGGTATTACTTGCCATGAGAGCACTGTTTCTTAGTACAGACTACCTGGATTGCACAACCAGAGATTCTGGTCTCACTGGACCAGAGTGTACAGCCTGGGTACCAGGATTTTCAAATAGCCTCGTCCACCTAGTGATTCTAATAAGCAGCTATGATTGAGAAACACTGTACTCGTCAATTACCAGAATGTTTTGTATTCTATTTGGAACACAACTAAAATTTGACCTGATGAACTCGTGCAAAATATTAAAAGCTGAACCTGCAGAGGCCAGATGCAGTGGCTCATGCCTGTAATCTTACCACGTTGGGAGGCTGAGTCAGGCAGATCGCTTGAACCCAGGGGTTCAAGACCAGCCTAGGCTACATGGTGAAACTTCATCTCTATTAAAAATACAAAAATTAGCCAGGCATGGTGATATGCACCTGTAGTCCCAGCTACTCAGGAGGCTAAGGTGGGAGAATGGCTTGAACCTCCAGAGGCAAAGGTTGCAGTGAGCTATGATCGTGCCACTGTACTCCAGTTTGGGTGACAGAATGAGACCCTGTCTCAAAAACAAACAACAAACAAAAAAGGCTGAAACTGCAGAGAAATAGGGAGAGGACTATGGAAATATTATAGAAAGATAAATAGCTGAAGAAGTAATGTCACCGCCACACACCCTAACCTGATATTTGAGGAAAAGAGACGAAACACACAAGTAACAAAAACAAAAGGTGAAGCTTGGTTAGTCCAATCCTTGATGCCCAGAAAAAAATCTTACAGGAGACCAGAAGATAAGGGCCAACAAAAGCTGAACAGAAGTTCAGTGAAAATCAGTAAGGTCTTTAGGATAGTCTAGTTCTGCCTCATTTTCCTGAGGCAGCAGTGGGAAGCAGCTGGCCCTCCTGCCCCTCTCCCCAGCCCCTCCAGGCCTGCATGCTATCCTTGGGGACCCTAGGCCTCTGCTGGGATTTCCCTCTGCTGTGGGGATTTCCATGCTGGCCTAGAGGCCCGCGGCAAGTAGCCCAGTTGCTAGAGCCTGGAGGCAGGTGAGCAGGGTGGTAGAAGGTGAGGGAGTGATGTCAGAGAAGCCTCTCAACAGACAGCATCAGCTTCCTGACGCTTAGAAGACCCCTTGTTTCTTCCATCTCTTCAGAGCCAGGGCCATCAGGTGGCCCATAAACTCCTTTTTCACATGCAAGCTGAGAAGGCTGTGAGCCAGCCACATGGCAGGGGGTTGAGAGGCCATCACCCTGCGTGTTCACCGCCTCTCCTCGCTGCTGCTGGAAGGAAAGGGCTTTGCCTCCAGTTAAGGGAACATGAGGTCCTCATAAAGGTTTCAGAGAGTTGGAGCAGAGATGGAGGGGCTGATAACTTGTCTCTGTCCCTAATATCTGACAGAAACAAAGAGCAAGGAATACAACACTTACTATTTAACATTTAATTTAGGATGGCACCAATTTCCATTAAGTGAAGCATCAAGGAAAAATGCTGATATTGATAGTCTTCTAGGATCCTTAATCATTCTCATAATTTTAAAAAAATCTAAAGATTTTCTGAGCTAGATATGGTAGTAATTATAATTTTTGTAGTATATATCATGTGTATTACAAAAAGATACATATAAATATGTATAAAATATGATATATTTTCTGTAAATTCTTTATCCTAGTATTTAATTCCCATGACACAATAATTATGCATATTATTAAACCTGTTTCATCGTCGAGTCATTTGGTTAAAATAACTGTATTCGGGGATGTTTAATCCTTACAGCTCCTTGAACCAAAAGCCTGGAGGTTTAGTTACAGGTTTACAAATCACAGGGAAAACTGTTCCTAGTAGCTTTCTCATGCTATCATAGCCTTTGTCTTTTTCTGCCTCTCCTTTGTCAAAATATATCTGTCAGAGAAAGATTTCTCACCATGATAATCAGTAAATCTCCCCAAGAAATGACTGTAAAATTGGATAACATTGTCAAAAATAACAATTTTAGGCCTTTGAAAACTAAGCAAAGACAAGAAAATAAGCAAACAAACCAACTGAGAAGGATTTACCCATTAAATAAAAGACAGATAGACTTTGGGCCTCCATGGTATTCTTGCCTGGGGCTGCTCCCATCATCTCTCCAGCTCAAGGGTCTTGGTAGTTCTACCAGGGCAGGGCTGGTCATGAAAACCAGCAGCTTCACTCCTAGCAGGGCTCACTCGTGTCTAGTGGGACTGTCAGTAAAATAATAAGGCTAGTAACACACATGCCTCATAGTCTGAGGTTGCTCTCACAGATCGGGGGCATTTCAGGCTGGCAGACTAGCCAGACATTTAGCAAAGAGATCCTAGAAATGAGAGCACTGCAGAAAGCCTAGATAAGACCCCAGGCAGACGGGGATGGGATGCTACACACATGCTCATGGGACACCCAGAAGGGCCCAGTTGAAAGTAAAACCCAGGGAAGACTTGAAAACTGTCTGAACTTGGAACATGCTCCTGTTACCACATCAGCAGAAGGTGGAAGCTCTGCTGGCTTGAGGTGTTTGAGCACAACATCTGACCAGTCTTTGGGTGACCACTAAACTACAAGATGCAGGGGAATCCCGTGGGAACCCAGGCTAGTAAAATGAAAATAAGAATTAAAAAAAAAAAAGAAAAAAATAGCTGCCTGACATCAGTGGGGAAACAAGTTCTGCAGAATAAGTCTAGGCAACTTACTAAAACAGCAAGAGCAGCAGCAACAACAAAATGACAACAACCTTTGGGGGGAAAGTAAGAATCCAGAATTTTGACATCATCTATTTGCTAAAATGACTGGTTTTCAACAAAATATCATGAGATAGGCAAAGAAATAAGATGGTATGACCTATATTCAGGAAAAATATCAGTCAACAGAAACTGTCTTGGAGCAGGCCCTAATGTTGAATTTAGCACAGGAAGAAACAATCCAAAATGAAGCAAAAAAAAAAATGACTGAAGAAAATACTGAGCAGAGCACTAGAGGCCTATGAGAAAACAGCAAGCTGTCATTGGACTCTGTACTCGGTCTCAGAAGAAAGTGATAGGAAAAAAAAATCAAAAGTCTGTGGGAATAACGGCCACACATTGTAAGCACATAACAACACATTCTGAAAAGAAAGAATATCCTAAAAACAGACAAATAAACAATATGTAGAAGTACAATAATAAAAAAAAATGGCTGATTTTCAGGAAAACAGTGCAGCCTCATTTCAAAACACACACACACAAGGTCTGTCAACCTAGAGTTCTCTATATCCAGAAAAAGAACATATATCTAGTAATAATATCCTTCAAAGCAAAGATGAAATGAAGACATATTCATATCAACTAAAGCTGAGAAGAATCCTTTGCCAGTAGACCTACGTTGTGAGAAATGCTAAAAAAAAAAAAAAAAAAACAGGTTTTCATGCTGAAATCATACTAGTCTGAAACTTGATAACTTAGTTCTACAGGAAAGCTTAAAAAGTACCTGAAATGGTAAAGAAGTAGATAAATACGTAATACTATTTTTTCCTAATATCTTTGAAAAAACAGATTTAAAGTTAAAATAAAAGCCTTGTAATTAGGGGTTTGTAATCTATATAGCAGCAAATTATACGACAGTAATAGCAAAAAAGACTGGGAAGGCAAATGGTATTATACTGTTGTAAGCCTCTTACATTACACATAAAGTTCAAGACATACTATACTAAGAGATATATAGACAGTGATATAGTTTGGATCTGTGTCCCTACCCAATTCTCATGTTGAATTGTAATCCCCAATGTTGGAGGTAGGGCCTGGTGGGAGATGATTGGATCATGGAGGCAGTTTCTCATGAATAGTTTAACACCATACCCCTTGGCAATGTTCTTATGATAGTGAGTTCTCGTGAGATCTGGTTGTTTACAAGTGTGTGGCACCCCCCACCTTGGTCCTTCTCCTGCCATGTAATACACCTGCTCCTGCTTTGCCTTCTGCCATGAGTCAAAGCTCCCTGAAGCCTCCCCAGAAGCAGACACTGCCTTGCTTCCTATACACCCTGCAGAACTGGGGGCCAATTAAACCTCTTTATAAATTACCCAGGCTCAGGTATTTCTTTATAGCAGTGTGAGAACAAATTAATACAGATAAATAGTGTATTAGTCTGTTTTCACACTGCTATAAAGAAATATCCTGAGACTGGGTAATATACGAAGGAAAGAGGTTTGATTAACTCATAGTTGCACATGGCTGGAGAGACCTCAGGAAACTTACGATCATGTGAGAAGGCAAAGCAGAAGCAAGGACCTTCTTCACAGGGCGGCAGGAGAGAGAATAGTGATGAGCGAAGAAGGAAGAGCCCTTTATAAAACCATCAGATCTCGTGAGAACTCATTCACTATCATGAGAACAGCATGGGGAAACTACCCCCATGATCCAATCAACCCCCACCAGATCTCTCCCTAGACACATAGGGATTATGGGGATTACAATTCAAGATGACATTTCGGTAAGGACACAGCCAAACCATATCAGATGGATGGATGGATGGATGGATAGATACATAGATAGATAGATAGATAGATAGATAGATAGATAGATAGATAGATGGATCCCTAGGATCAACTACTGAAGAATAAAGCAAAGGGTAAAAATAAAAAGTCAAGGAACGATATAAAATAGAATACTAGGCCGAGGCGCGAGGATCACGAGGTCAGGAGATCCGGACCATCCTGGCTAACACGGTGAAACCCCGTCTCTACTAAAAATACAAAAAAAAAAAAAGTAGCCGGGCGTGATGGCAGGCGCCTATAGTCCCAGCTACTCAGGAGGCTGAGGCAGGAGAATGGCATGAACCCGGGAGGCGGAGCTTGCAGTGAGCCAAGATCGCACCACTGCACTCCAGCCTGGGCAACAGAGCAAGACTCCGTCTCAAAAAAAAAAAATAGAACACTAAAAATACATATGTTTCACAAACGATATGTATTTGGGCAATATAAAGAATTCTTGCAATTAAGTAGTTTTTAAACAAAACAAATAACCCAATAAAAATGGGCAAAAGATTTGGACAGACATTTCACAAAAGAAGATATAAGAATGCTCAACATGTGAGTAATCAGGAAAATAAAAGTTAAAGCTACAATGAGATACCACTATACACCCACTAGAATGGTTAAAATTAAAAAGCCTAAAAATGCCAAATGTTACTTACGATCTTGCAATTCCTCTCCTTGGTGTTCACCCAAAAGAAATGAAAACATATGTCCACCAAGTAACTTGTACAAGATTGTTCTTTGCAGCTTTATTCACAATAGCCAAAAACTAAAAGCAACATGATGTCCATTAAAAGGAAAATGGATAAACAAATTGTGGTATATTTATACAATGCAAAATGAGTCAACCAAAGCAGAAAAAATGAATTAACTACCGATACATGTGATAACTTGGATGAATCTCAAAGATAATACGTTGAGGGCAGAGGTGCAATGGGGAAGCCAGACACAAGAGTCCATTTATGTCAATTTCAAGAACAGGCAAAGACTGTATCAAAACATCTCATGCCCCTCATAAATACATACTATGTACCCACAAAAATTTTAGAAATTAAAAAGTTAACAATATGTAAATAAAAAGAATAGGCAAACAGGCAAAGCTAATTTGTCAGGATATCGAAACAGAGATTAACTTTTTTGGGAGGGAGTGGGGAACTGACTGGGAAAAAGCGCGAGGGAATTTTCTAGGGTGATGTAAAGTTCTGTGTAAATGTTCTGTGTAACTGGGATCATCAAAATTTGAGAAATGTGCATTTTACTATAATTACATTTAGGTAATGTAATTTAATAAACTTCAATAAAAATACGCCTCAAACCCCACATTCTTCCTTTTTTTTTCTTCATTTCATTGACTGTGACTTCCCTTCAAAGCTACTGAAGAAAGGGAGGCATAGATTCGTTACCACAAGTTCAGCTCAGCTCCCAACTCTGAACATTCTTTTCAGTTCTTGACTATGGTCATCCCCCAACTCCTGAAGTAGGAGGATTTTCCAAGCATAAAAGAATGACCAGGTTTAGATTTAGACCAGATTTTCTAGAACCTAAGAAAATAAGCATATGTACTTTGCTAAACTACCTGCCTATCTGATAACCTGATTTTAGTATCTGATGTAGAACTTGGAAGCCATAAATTTGAAAATCCCAAATTGCAAATTAACAAATTGAGCATTTATTTGAGGAACAAGTATCATGTTTATGAGCAGCACCCACAGAGTTTGGAAGAGAAGGTTTACCCACTAATAGCCATCCTAACTTACGTTTAAAAAAGTTCATAAACCTCTAGTCAGCTATAGAACATGGGATCATGGGGGCTGCACAGTGACTAAAAGGGATTTTAAAACTGTAAATATGCCCAGGCACAGTGGCTCACGCCTGTAATCCCAACACTTTGGGAGGGTGAGGCGGGTGGATCACCTGAGGTCAGGAGTTCGAGACCAGCCTCACCAACATGGTAAAACCCGTCTCTACTAAAGATACAAAAATTAGCCAGGTGTGGTGGCGTGTGCCTGTAATCTCAGCTACTTGGAAGGTTGAGGCACAAGAGTCACTTGAACCCAGGAGGCAGAGGTTGCAGTGAGCTGAGATCGTGCCATCGCAACTGCAGCCCGGGTGACAGAACGAGACTCTGTTTAAAAAAAAAAAAAAAAAAAAAAAAAAACTATATCCGAATTATTAAAAATTTAACCAATTAGTCAAAATAAACTTTGTGAAAGAATTGAGCCAATCATTGTTGCCAATGTGCTAAGGACTCAGGGATCAGGACAGATGGAACAAAAATGTGAACACATTTGTAGTCATATTTAGATAAGAAAATCATTCTTAATCCATATGATAAAAGTATCCTTTTATCTTTTCTAATTATCATTCTATAGATATTAATGTGAGAATACTCTCCAACTCCTTTAAAAAACCTGTTGCTCAAAATGTTCTTCATTTAAAGGAACTGGTAATGATAAGTGGGAAATGACACATACTACTGGTGTAGCTGGTGGAGCCATTGACATCTCACCTCTGTGGGTTGTTTAGAGATAAAATTCGTTTCTTTCATAGCAAGGAGCATTCTAAGGATTCTTGGTGAGGTGGTTTTGTTTTATTCCCTGGAATATGGAGAATAGCTGTGGCAGATATCCAGGGGTTGTTTTCTCCAGCATGTTCTAACATACTTTAACTTTTTTTTTTTTAATTATACTTTAAGTTCTAGGGTACATGTGCACAACGTGCAGGTTTGTTACATATGTATACATGTGCCATGTTGGTGTGCTGCACCCATTAACTCGTCATTTACATTAGGTATATTTCCTAATGCTATCCCTCCCAGCCCCCCTCACCCCACAACAGGCCCCGGTATGTGATGTTCCACTTCCTGCGTCCAAGTGTTCTCATTGTTCAATTCCCACCTATGCGTGAGAACATGCAGTGTTTGTTTTTTTGTCCTTGCAATAGTTTGCTGAGAATGATGGTTTCCAGCTTCATCCATGTCCCTACAAGGGACATGAACTCATCATTTTTTATGGCTCCATAGTATTCCATGGTGTATATGTGCCACGTTTTCTTAATCCAGTCTATTATTGTTGGACATTTGGGTTGGTTCCAAGTCTTTGCTATTGTGAATAGTGCTGCAATAAACATACGTGTGCATGTGTCTTTATAGTACTATGATTTACAATCCTTTGGGTATATACCCAGTAATGGGATGGCTGGGTCAAATGGTATTTCTAGTTCTAGATCTCTGAGGAATCCCCACACTGTCCTCCACAATGGTTGAACTAGTTTACAGTCCCACCAACAGTGCAAAAGTGTTCCTATTTCTCCACATCTTCTCCAGAACCTGTTGTTTCCTGACTTTTTAACGATCACCATTCTAACTGGTGTGAGATGGTATCATGCTACCTGACTTCAAACTATACTACAAGGCTACAGTAACCAAAACAGCATGGTACAGGTACCAAAACAGAGATTCAGACCAATGGAACAGAACAGAGCCTTCAGAAATAATACCACACATCTACAACTATCTGATCTCTGACAAACCTGACAAAAACAAGAAATGGGGAAAGGATTCCCTATTTAACAAATGGGGGTGGGAAAACTGGCTAGCCATATGTAGAAAGCTGAAACTGGATCCCTTCCTTACACCTTATACAAAAATTAATTCAAGATGGATTAAGGACTTAAATGTTAGACCTAAAACCACAAAAACCCTAGAAGAAAACCTACGCAATACCATTCAGGACATAGGCATGGGCAAGGACTTCATGTCTAAAACACCAAAAGCAATGGCAACAGAAGCCAAAATTGACAAATGGGATCTAATTAAACTAAAGAGCTTCTGCACGGCAAAATAAATTACCATCAGAGTGAGCAGGCAACCTACAGAATGGGAGAAAAATTTTGCAATCTACTCATCTGACAAAGGGCTAATATCCAGAATCTAAAAAGAACTCAAACAAATTTACAAGAAAAAAACAAACAACCCCATCAATGAGTGGGTGCAGAATATGAACAGACACTTTAACTGTTTTGAAAGAATATGTGGTAAATCAGGATCCCCAGGGGACAGACTCTGAGGCTCTGAGATTGCATGTAAAAGCTTTATGAAGAACTGCTTTTAGGATTGGGCCAAGAGAGGTTGGACTATGATGCATGCACAGCAGGGGCCCCAGCCATCCTACAGGAAGCCCTGGGGCTGTGGTGGCCCCCAGAGTTGTGCTGCCTTGATGCACGCAAGACAGCCATTTCGTGTGGGAAGACCTTGGGGATGGGACATGACCTTGGGCAAGGCAGCACCGATGGCCGAGGCCAGTTCTTGGAGGAGAATCAACTGGGAGCCATCCACTGCCACACTCCCACAGATGTAGGAATGAGTACCTCCTTCTTGACATGGGACTTGAGTGGATCACCACCACTTCCATGCCACAGTTTCAGAGATTCTGAACCTCTCCTTGAGACTGGCCAATGACTACATAGCCACAGCAGCTGATGTACATTAATACCAAAGTTAACCTAAACTATCATTTGTTTCTGTTCTTGCTACTATTTTCAGCTTGCCTGTGACTCTCTGGAAGATTTGAATTTCTACTCCCTAAATTATGTCTATCATGTCTATCTTTTTACATGGATCATTGGTGCTGTTTAGAATGGATCTGAAGGGCAATCCCATATCTGTGGGAGAATATATTTCCATATCCAGAGAGAATCCCCACCCACCTTGCTCCTTCTAGCCTGATATTGCTCGGTTTAGGAGAAGACTTCCTAAAGTTGAGAAACTGTGATCTCAGAGTTTGGATTTTAAATTAAAGCTCTGTTTGTTGATACAGCTGAGAGTGATTTTGTGTGTGTGGTGGTAGAGGGTTAGATTTACTGCCATTATGGGCAAAATATACTGGTTTCTGCTTCTGCACTGAAATTTAACAACTACATCTTTCCATATTACTGAAGCCATGGACTGATGTGTGGCCTGTGGAATGAAGCCTGTGAAGGTGGTTAACTGGATTCTTAGGCAAAGGGAGATCAGAACAGCCTGTCTATCTCTGGTATGCAAGGGTGGTGCCCAAACAGAAAGGCAGAGGATCATTTTGTCCCAGAAAACAGCTGCTATGGCATTTCTGTGGTTAGATATTTGGGGGAGAGTTGATAAAGTGGGGAAGATATAAAGGATAATGTAAATAACCAAAGAAAGAAGATTCTTTGAGAGAGAGAGAGAAAGAATACAAGAGGTATATTTTTCTTCTTCTTTACCAATAATAACTAGATAAATTTAACTCAAATGAAGAAGAAAGGAGGTGGCATGGAATGATTACTCCCTCATCATCACAACCTCTGCCCCATGTGTAAGCTAAGCTTGATGATGAGATATGATGATGCCATGATGATAACCTCTTAAAATTTGCAAATCTCTGCTGAAAACTTGAAGTTAAAGCATCAGGTTTAGCAGAAAAAGTATGGTACCTACAGTGAGAGTAACTGTTTCAAGTCACATCACGGCCATTTAATAGCTGCTTAGTTTTGGCTCCATCATTAATCTCCTCAAGACTTATATATATATGAAATGCAGCACAGACAGTTGATATACAAAATCATAAACATGAATGACAGCATTTTGTACTCTATAAGGGGATGCACAAATTTAATGCCAGATTTTGTCAAAGCCAATGCATTTTTGTGGTTAGTTCTCTGAATCAAGATGTAAACAACCCAAATCTTCCCTTCTTTTTATTTAGCTTTGTTGCACACCAATTGAAGAGACATTTTAAATATTTTCACCCCTGAGTTGGTGAGATAATACGTCTTCTTCCCTAAGACACTAAGCAGTGATGGACTGGTAAAATTTAAATTTTATAAAAAGCAGGCATTTACCAAATTCAAGTTGTTCTGACATTTTATGGCAATAAAACTAAACCTCCTTTGCATAAAAATTTGCATTCATTTTTAAAAACTGTCTTAATATTCCTAATGATGACTCCATGGCAATACAAAATATCATCCAACTAAATTGCTTTTGAATCACCAAATAAAGATAAAAGAGGAACAACTTTTGTTATTGTGACAAATGTACTTGGTGTATTCAACTCTTTCAGAACTAGTCATTACTTGATATGGGAACTTAGTTAACCCAAAGATCCCTTACTGCATGAGAACCCTAGGATTTCGTTGGAGCCACTCATCTCTAGTGAAGAAAGGAATCCAAACAGGTAGATAGATAGGCATTTTTACTGGCTTTTCAGCTGGACTTTTTCCTCCACTGACTATCACCTGTGGCAGGTAGTCACTTCTTTGCATTCACAAGTGTGTGGGCACACATTTTCCATGTGCCATTTTGCTTCTTTGCTTACGCTTTCAGTATTTCTCCCTGATCCAGAATGTAGTATTCAAGTGTTGATATAGCTGAGTGGTTAACCCAGAAAACTTTTCTAATCCTCCTCCTCTTCCCTTGATTCTTGTGTTATTTTTGGAAAACCTTTAAGGAGACTGTGCCTCTACAAAGATAACAGCCAGATGATGAATATACACACACACAAAACAGAGGGAAACAAAAATCTTGCTCACATACTTCACGTAAAATAAGAATGACATCTGGATACCATAAGGCGGATATCTCATTTTCTGGTAAAAACTGTCTCCTGGTTTTTCTGTTATGGAAGCATAAAGCAAGAGATGCTTTTAAAAAGCCATCTATACTCCAGAGCAACTCTGTCCTCTCTAGGTCTCTGCCTAGCCTGCTTTAACTGAAATGTTAACAAGTACTGAAAGTTTAGTATACCCACTGTTGAAAATTCAGAGTAGTAGTCAATAATCACTAATCAGGATCACTAATAATCACAAAAGGATGCTTCTTTCCATACGGAATAGGTTCTAAGAAACGTTTTCAAGCTCTACAAATGATACTCAGAATAAAAAAAAAAAGTAACTCCAAGATTCTAAGTAATCTGAAAAATCTATCTATATAATAGGACAAAATCTGACAGAAGCCTTTTCTCCCTCCCAGGGCTCTGTTCATTTTTGGTCACTGCATATGTCTTGTGATGTCTGAGGACTTTGAGGTGTCATCCTGAGACAGCAATCTGCATCTGATTTTGCACAGAGGAAACTGACTTGATGCAGATCACATATTTTGCTGTTAGGTCAGGTCTGAGAAAGAAACTCTGGACTTATTCCACTTGTATTTAATGCCTCTGGGAAGTGAATATTCTCAGCAATAAGGTCTTTCATGCTTTTGGGCTTAAGCATTGCCTCCATTTGAAATACTTCCCCTCCTCAAATTCTCAACCTGTTGAAATATTTTGAATCTTACTGAAATACCACCTCCTCTCTAGAGTGCTTCCTTACTCCCTACAATTAGAATGAATGGATCCTGCTTCTGCATGTTCTGTAACATTTTTTTGTCTATTTTGCACATATCTATCCTTTTTACCATTGTTAATTTCATATCTATGATTTCTTTTCTCCAGCAGAAATTCATAAAGTTTCTGAATGCTCCACATACACAGGACAGATGGAAGTAGGACTGGGCTTGAACCATATTATTTTGCCTCTGATATCTAAGTTATGTTTTGTTCAAGAAGATTTAAAAACTCCTGATCTAGGACTTCTCATTTCATATCCAGAATTTCCCAGAGAAACACATTTTCCATGTCTCCTGACCTTTTCTTTTTTCATGCTGTAATGAGGACATTGCAGAGACCAAAAATATAAATCCCTGTTTTTGAGAGCTGGTCATAGCTCAGAAAATCAAACAATGATTCTTCTATACACCTCAAAAAGGCAAAGATAAGACACTAGCCCAGAAGGACAGTGAGCTAAAAGTGTTCATTCGATTCTGGTTCCCTGGCTATGATGGAGAAAAGTGTCCTCCACCCTGCATCTCCTCCAGTGAACTTATCCTACAAATGTTGAGCAGACTCTTACCCCACAATCAGCTCTTCACAAAAGCAGACTCCAATCCAACTAGCAGAAACACTGTGCAGAGGATAAACACACAAAAAACATTTAAGTGATTTATCATATCATGAACTTCAAAAAGTATAGTCTATGCCAAACAGAGTAGAAAAAGGAGCAGAGACCAATCTGTCACCACATCCTTCTCCCCTCATGTCCCCATGATTCTCGTTTTTCTCAGAACTTTTCTCAAACAACTAATTGGTTTGTATTTCTAGAAGCAAAGAATGTAAACAAACACTTTAATGGAATTGATTCATGAGACTGGTTATTCTTATCTGTGTGGTTGCTGGCCTTGAAATCATCTTCTTAAGGGCAAGGAATGACTCTAGAATACAGTATCAGAGCAGAAAATCAAATCTGAGATGCTCAAATTCACGTGGGCTCCCCTAAAGATAAAATACATGATTTTTCTCATAATCACTGTAGCACTATGGAAAAAATACCAGCAACTTTTATACAGTTTTAGCTCAACTCTTCACCTTCAGTGATCCTGTCCTCTAGATAAAAGTGACCGGGTGGCTAATTTGATAACAGTAAGACAGTTTTAGGACTATTTCTAGGCAGAAAACAAGGACTGTATTTTCCAAATCTTCCCATCCATCCCAATTTTCCAGAATAACTGAGAAAGGCAGGCAATAAGTCAATTTTTGAGACCATTCAGGAAAAGTCCTGATATCGTGCACTGTTCAAAATTACTCAAATACCAGTAACAGGTAGCCCTGGGCAAGGACCCATGGAAAAGGCCAAGAGACATAGGTTCTTTTGTTAGCCGCCCGCACAGGCTGTCTTCCGAACAGGACAAGGCATATAGCCAGGTAATGCTGGCTCTACTGTGCCCAGGTGCAACATGCCCTAGAAAAAGGGTTCTAAAAATATCCAAGAGTCATATCACTACTAAAGGTGATTAGTGTGCAAAGTATCCGAACTATATTTATTTAGGATTCTATGGAGGGCTCACAATTGGAGTGGCATGACTCACTATACTTCCTGTGGCTTCTCTGCCATTTCCACCCTCCTTCACAGGCTTAAACATCTGTCGGGACACTGCTAGAGAGACATGAAAATGCAGTACTACTTTTAACAGATTCTTGTTCAGGGAGAAATCTGTTACCCTCTAAACTTTGTTAATGTTATATTTTTCTGAAATCCTAGAGAATACATGAAAAGCAAGTTTCACTTTGTTACCTGTTTATTTTGTTAGAAGTATTTGCAATTATTGAAAGGATAAAGGTCCCTTCCCCTTTAAGAAGCCAGGTGGTAACATAACAGTTGCACCTTTCATCCAAGCAAATCATTCAGGAGAGAATGACTTATGGACAGTACAGGGCACACAACATTATGTTCTGAATATCCCTTTAGAGGGCAATTCAGTGCCAGGAAAGAAGAAAACAAGGGGCTACAGAAATGTGAGGTTTCAGATGGCAAAGGGATGGATTAAAGGGAGAAATCTTGTATTTATAATTTCCACCAAGTAACAGGAGAAATTAATACCTATTTTCTAAACAGTAGTTTACCACAAGATAAAAATTATTGTGGCAGAAATTAATTTAGAAAATACTCATAGTATATTATGTATAAATCCATGTATATAATAGCCATAGTAAAACTAAAGTGAAGATCAACATAGATCAGTGAAGCCACAGATTACTTCTTTTATTAATGCTTTATGCAACCCCCACTCCCAAGCACCCTTTAAACATTTATCTTACTGGATGATGAGTCCATGATTAATTGGCAGTAAGAGCAACAAATATATTTACTATAGTAAAAAAGTCATTGATAAATATAGAACATTTTACATCTTCACCCTGTGGAGAATTAGTTGCACATGCATGTTTATAGCAGCACAATTCGCAAATGCAAAAAATGTGGAACCAACCCAAATGCCCATCAATCAATGAGTGGATAAAGAAACTGTGATATACATATGTGTATACACGTATACAGATATACACATATATATACATCTATATACACATATATACATATATATACACATATATATATAAATACACACACACACACACACACACACACAAGGGAATACTACTCAGCCATAAAGAGGAACGAATTAATGGCATTCACAGCAACCTGGATGGAATTGGAGAGCATCTAAGCGAAGTAATTCAGGAATGGAAAACCAAACACCGTATCTTCTTACTCATAAGTGGGAGCTAAGCTATGAGGATGCAAAGGCATAAGAATGAAACAATGGCTTTAGGGACTCGAGGGAAAGGGTGGGAAGAGGGTGAGGTATAAAAGACTACAATTTGGGTGCAGTGTATACTGCTCAGGTGATATGCACCGAAATCTCACAGATCACCACTAAGGAACTTACTCATGTAACCAAACACTACCTGTTCCCCAATAACCTATGGAAATAAAAAAATTTAATAAAAAAGACATAACGATTATAACCTCAGAAAATGTCTGCAGAGAATAAAGCTACTTCACAAGTAAAAAGTACATCTGAATAAGAAGACTAAATACTGAAAAGAACTCAGATTACCCAAGATTCATGTAATATATTAAATGCAGTTATAATATACCAATGAGATATTTTTTCAAAAATGTTTAACAAAATATTCTGAAATTTTCCTGCGAGAATGAACTATAAAAGTATCCAAGAAAAAAGTTTTAAATAATAAGAGTGATAAAAGTAATAACAAGCAGAGGGAATTCATTAAAGTCATTAAGCCATATTATAAAACAACAACAATTGAAATACTGTAGTAGAAGTCTAAGAATAAACAGATCAATAGAACAAAATATAAAGTTCTAAACTAATGCAAGTGCATGTAAAATATGGTTTGTGATAGGTTTATGTAAAATCATTTGAAGACTAGTATATTATTTAGGTGATAGGCTAAATACAAGGGAGAATGTTAACTTCCTCCCTCATAATGTACACCAAATCAAATTCCAGACATACTCAAGAACTAAATATAACAATAGCACATTTTTTAAAACTGGTAGAAAATATTATGAACACTTTTATGATCTTGGAGGAAGGATATTCTGAGTAAGCAACCATTTAAAGACAAAATTAACTTATAAAAATTATTAAATCTGACTACCTAAAAAGCATAACTTCTGAAAGTTAGAAGTGCCATCAATAAAATTTAAAACAATTTTCACATGCATTCACAAAATTTCACATGCATTCACAAAAAGAATAATGAAAAAGAAACTAATGATGGAAAGAGAGTTAAGTTCTTTAATTATACAGCTCTTAGAAGTCAGCAACAGACACGACAAAAATAAAGACAAAAAATATGCTCAGTATAATAAACAGACAACTCATGAAGAAATGACTGAATAACAAATGAATTATTATCCTTCCTAATAATAGATAAATTTAAATAATGAAATACCATGTTTGGCTTACCAAATTAGCAATGACTGAAACAAGAAGTTCTGATCGGGATGCAAGGAAATGGGGCTTTAATTTGCTATGGGTAAAAAGTGAAAATGGTTCCTACCTTCTAGGAGGGGAGAATATGGATCTAAAGCCTTTAAAATGTACTTTAATCAGAAGCTCCTCCAAGAAAATTAATCAGATACATTTTCTTTTATATCTATATATGTAGATATTAATAGCATGTTGTTTATATTTCAAAAAAATGTAAAACCATTTATAAATTGAGTAAATTTATGAAACCACTTAAAATAATGCCATAGAATAACAGTGATGTAGGAAAAATCAAAATATATGGCTCATAGTTCATAATATATGGCTGAGTGAAAACAGGCATTTTTAAAAATAGTATGGTCTTGATTTCACAAACTCACACACATACACACACACACACACACACACATTCACTTACTAATAACTAGATGGATATACCAGAGAATTCTACCAGTAGTTACCCTTGAATGGTGGAATTACAAGTAACTTTCATTCTCTTTCTTAGGCTTTTATGTGTTATAAAAGCCAGATCATTTTGTGTAGGTCTAAAATAACTCCATTTTTTATTGAATAAAATGTTATTAAAATAATAAAAAGTAAGGTAATTAAAAGCAATAAAGTATTTCATCTATGTCTCTAAAGAGGCATTCCTCTACTAGGATAACAAATATTCTTACAGTTCTTCAGCCACATCCTCGCTAAACTCAAGCACCAAGACACAGTTGGTTGGAAATAGTTTCTGGCAATCTTCAATTTTAATTTAGTTCCTGGAAATCTGCACCTTAACAGCTGGGAAAATGGACAACTGTATATTAGTGGATTCACTTTGTCTTATGAACCTATGCCTAAATTGCTCATATTTAGCTATTGGAAAGTTGCTGGTATGAGCAGAGGGAGGTTTAGAATTTAACAATGTCGACAGTATTTTTTTCAAAAAATTTCTAGTTTATCCTCCCCAAGGAGATGAGGAATAAAAACTAACCCTTGGCGGCTCCAGGGCATTTTCTGTAACTAGACACATATAACTGTCCTGGAATGAAATGGATATTTAATCCATTTTCCTTCCCTGTGCTTTTAGTCTACCAGTGCATGCAACCCTTAAAGCATTTCTGCAGCTAGTGGTCAGGAATGGCACCAGTCTTAGATTAGCTTCACATGGCCAAGGGGGTGAAGCAGAGGCTCTCAGCTCCCAACTACTCATCTACTTAGGGAAGTATTAGGAAATATCCCCAGAGATCGGAGTTCTTTGAAAGCCATATGATCTGGGGCAGGTACTTAACCTCCCCACACCTCAATTTCTCATCTGAAAAATAGAAATAGTAATGCCAAACTTACGGAGTTATAAAGAGGAATACACTTTACAGAAAAGGATATGAAATGGCTCTGGAGTGGGAAAATTATCCAAATGTCCTACCATTTCAATAATGCCACCCTTAAAATGTCACTGGTTTTAGCAGAATGAAATTTCACAGTTTTTACTCAGACAAAATATCAGCTTCCTCCAAGGGTTAGTTACTGGTGGCTTTTCTGCCTGATGTTTCAAGCCACTGGATGGTGTTGACAAAAAGCACAAGGCAAGAATGCTTCTTACCAAAACCAAATCTAATGTAAATTGAGGAGGATGATCCATGCCTCTGTTCTAAGTCCTTTCAGGAATGGTTCTTTTTTTTATTTTAGGCTCAGCGGTACATGGGCAGGTTTTTTACTTAGGTAAACGTGTGTCATGGATGTGTTTTACAGATTATTTCATCACCCAGATGTTAAGCCTAGCACCCGTAAGTTACTTTTCCTGATCCTCTCTCCCTCCTCCTACTGGTAGGCCCCAGTGTCTGTTGTTCCCCTCTTTGTGTCCATGTGTCTCATCATCTAGCTCCCACTTACATGTAAGAACATGAAGTATTTGGTCTTCTGTTTCTGCATTAGTTTGCTAAGGATAATGGCCTCCAACTCCATCCATGTCCCTGGAAAGAACATGATCTCATTCTTTTTTATGACTGCATAATATTCCATATGTTTATGTACCACATTTCTTTATCCAATCTGTCATTGATGAGCATTTAGGTTGATGCTATATATGTGCTAGTGTAAATAGGGCTGCACTTAACATAAGCATGCAAGTGTCTTTATGGTAGAATGATTTATATTCCTTTGAGAATATACCCAGTAATGGGATTACTGAGTCAAATGATAGTTCTGTTTTTAGCTCTTTGAGAAATCACCACACTGCTTTCCACAGTGGTTGAACTAATTTACCTTCCCAGAAACAATGTGTAAATGCTCCCTTTCCTCCACAACCTCACCAGCATCTCGTATTTTTTGACTTTTTAGTAATAGCCATTCTGCCTGGTGTGAGGTAGTATTGTGGTTTCGATTTACATTTCTCTAATGACCAGTGACATTGAGCTTTTTTTCATATATTTGTTGGCTGCAAAAGAACTTGTTGTTCTTTCAAAAAATGTCTGTTCATGTACTTTGCCCATTTTTTAATTTGGTTGTTTTTTTCTTGTAAATTTAAGTTCTTTACAGATGCTAGATAATAGATCTTCGCCAGATGGATAGTTTGCAAAAATGTTCTCCCATTCTGTAGGTTTTCTGTTTACTCTGTTGATAGTCTCTTTTGCTGTGCAGAAGTTCTTAAGTTTAATTAGAGCCAATTTGTCAATTTTTGCTTTAGTTGCAATTGCTTTTGGTATCTTTGTCATAAGATCTTTGCCCATTCCTATATCCAGAATGGTATTGCCTATGTTGTCTTCCAGGGTTTTTATAGTTTTGGGTTTTACACTGAAATCTTTAATCCATCTTAAGTTGATTTTTGTATATGGTGTAGGGAAGGGGTCCAGTCTCAAGTCTTCTGCATATAGCTAGCCAGTTACCCCAGCACCATTTATTGTAGGGAGTCCTTTCTCCATTGCTTGTTTTTGTCAGCTTAGTAAAAGATCAGATAGTTGTCAGTGTGCAGCCTAATTTCTGAGCTCTCTATTCTGTTTCATTGGTCTATGTGTCTGTCTTTGTACCATTATCATGCTGTTTTGGTTACTGTAGCCCTGTAGTATAGTTTGAAGTTGGGTATGATTCAACACTGAAGTTGATACTTCCAGTTTGTTCTTTTTTATTAAGATTGCCTTGGTTATTTGGGCTCTTTTTTGGTTCCATGTGAATTTTAAAATAGTTTTTTTCTAGTTTTGTGAAGAATGTCATTGGTAGATTGATAGGAATTGCATTAAATCTATAAATTACTTTGGGCAGAATGGCCCTTTTAATGATATCAATTCTTCCTATCCATGAGCATGGAATGTTTCTCCACTTGTTTGTGTTATCTCTGGTTTCTTTAAATAGTGTTTTGTAATTATTTTTTTTCTTTTGAGACAGAGTCGCACTCTGTCACCCAGGCTGGAGAGCAGTGGTATAATCTCGGCTCACCGCAACCTCCTCCTCCTGGGTTCAAGCGATTCTCCTGCCTCAGTCTCCCAAGTAGCTGGGATTATGGGCACCCACCACCATGCCCAACTAATTTTTTCATTTTTAGTAGAAACTGGGTTTCACCATGTTGGCCAGGCTGGTCTCGAACTCCTGAACTCAAGTGATCCACCTGCCTCAGCATTCCTTTTTATTGTAGAGCTCTTTCACCTCTCTGGTTAGCTGTAGCCCTAGATATTTTTTTTCCTTTTTGAAGCAATTGTGAATGGGATAGCATCCCTGATTTGGCTCTCAGCTTGGCTGTTTTTGGTATATAGGAATGCTAGTGATTTTTGTACATTGATTTTGTATACTGAAACTTTGCTGAAGTTGGTGTTGGGCCAAGACTATGGAGTTTTCTAGATATAGAATCATGTTGCCTGCAAACATGGATACTTTGACTTTCTGTCTTCCTATTTGGTTGTGATTTCTTTCTTTCTCTTGCCTGATTGTTCTGGTCAGGACTTCCAATACTACATTGAATAGGAGTGGTGAGAGAGGTCATCCTGGTATAGTGCCAGTTTTCAAGGGAATGCTTCCAGCTTTCGCCCATTCAGTATGATGGTAGCTATGGGTTTCTCACAGATGGCTCATTATTTTGAGGTATTTTCCTTCGATACCAAGTTTATTGAGAGGTTTTAACATGAAGGGATGTTGAATTTTATTGAAAGCCTTTTCTGCATCTATTAAAATAATCATGAGGTTTTTGTCTTTAGTTCTGTTTATGTGACAATCACATTTATTGATTTGCATATGTTGAACCAAACTTGCATCTTGGGGATAAAGCCTACTTGATCATGGTGGATTAGCTTTTGATGTGCTGCTGGATTCAGTTTGCCAGTATTCATTGAGGATTTTTACATCAATGTTCATCAATGATATTGGTCTGAAGTTTTCTTTTTTCGCTGCGTCTCTGCCAGGTTTGGTATCAGGATGATGCTGGCCTTATAGAATTAGTTAGGGAGGAGTCCCTCCTCCTCAATTTGTTTTTTGAATAGTTTTGGTAGGGATGGTACCAACTCTTCTTTGTACATCCAGGGGAATTTAGCTGTGAATTTGTCAGGACTGGTTCTCTTAAGAGAAAATAAGAACTACCTTTTAAAAAATCTACTTTTTTTAGAGTAATCATTGATTACAGAAAAGTGCCAAGTATTTTAGTTATACATGTACCACAAGAAGAATGTTATATTTCTCTTTTAGTGATTTTCTGGGCAATGATTTCTCCTCTCACACTTGTCTTCCAGTTGTGGGAAATATCTAAGATTCCTTCCTCTGTCCTCGCTCTCCACATTCACTTCAACATTAACTTACTCCACCCCTTTGTATTTCTGCAGACTAAACTGTAGGCCCAGTTAAAATGAGGGGCTTCTAAACTAAGATAATCATCTCCACCAAAAAAAAAAAAAAAAAGTAATAATAAGCTCTCTGTGGGAGGGATGCTCCTAGAGAGATATTTTGGGGAGCTTCCTGGGTAGAGACTGCACCAATGGACTAACTGGGGCTAGTAGGCTTCAGGATGGCCTTATCATTTTAGGAGGTTTTTAGCAAACACCTGATCAATGAACCTAAAATACTAAATATTGGGGATTATAATTGTCTGCTACATATGTGAACTAAGGGGTAATTTTCTGGGAGCATGCCCGTAGTTGTTCCAAATGGCTATCACCAAAAAATACAGCTATTCTTACTTTACATGCATTCTTGCACTAACATTTTTCCAAAGAAATGAGAAGAATCAAAATTTATTCATCTGTATTCTTTCAAAAAACTTAAATCCAGCACTAGGCTGGGTGTAGTGGCTCACGCCTGTAATCCCAGCACTTTGGGAGGTCAAGGCGGGTGGACCACCTGAGGTCAGGAGTTCGAGACCAGCCTGGCCAACATGGAGAAACCCTGTCTCTACTAAAAATACAAAAAATTATCCAGGCAAGGTGGCATGTGCCTGTAATCCCAGCTACCCAAAAGGCTGAAGCAGGAGAATCCCTTGAACATGGGAGGCGGAGGTTGCAGTGAGCTGAGATCACGCCACTGCACTCAAGCCTGGGCAACAAGAGCGAGACTCCGTCTCAAAAAAAAAAAAAAAAAAAATTCCAGCACTATTTATTAAATATTATAAACATAACATCAGCCTAATCAATACTGACAGCATATAAAGACTAGAGTTGAAAACATAGGCAGTGGGGCCATGTTTCCAATAATGGAGTGTACATTCCATCACTTCCTAGCTATACTGGTTTTCTACAGCTATTGGACCAAATTATTACAAACTAAGTGGCTTAAAAACAATAAGTTAACTTTCTCACAGTTTTGGAGGCCAGAAGTCTGAAATCAAGGTGTTAGAAGGGCTGGTTGCTTCTGAAGCCTCTGAGGGATAATTTGTTCAATGCCTGTCTCCCAGTTTGGGGTGGTAGTCAGCAATTTTTGGCATTCCTTCTCTGGTAGATGCATCGTTCTAATCTGTCTTCATCTTCACATGGTGTTCTTCTCTGCATGTGTCTCAAATCTCCCTTCTTTTCTTTCAAAAGGAGACCAATCATCGGATTTAGGGCCCACCCTAAATCCAAGATAATCTCATCTCAAGATTCTTAATTATATCAACAACGACCCTATTTCCAAATGAGGTCACATTCACGGGTACCAAGGATTAGGACTTGCACATATCTTACGGGAATCTATTCAACCCACTACACCAGCTGCATGACCTTGGGCAGGTTATGCAAACGTTAAGCCTCAATTCCTTTATCTATAAGGTATTAATAATAACAACACTAGAATTATAATCAAGATTAAACAAGATAACGTATATAAAGTGCCTAATATATTGCTTGGTTTATAGTGAATACTCAACAATTGTTAGCTGCCAGTATTACTATTATTTTCATTATTTTACTATTAAACACTCTGCAGGATTCAGAAAAAATAAAACACAAATCCTGTCCCCAAAAGTCTTACAATCCAAGAAAGGATGAATGTACATTTACGCCAGGCCTGACTTTAACTTTGTAACTCAGTATCATTAAGCACATGGGTGCTAAGACATTTTAGGGTACAGAAGACAGACTACAGGTTGATTCTTGAGGTGCTGAAAGACTAAAAACTTTCCCTCTTTAAAATCAGCATGCTCTCCTGTCCCTTTCTTCTAGAACTTCCCAAGGAAAGAGCAAGTGAAAAAGAAGCTTTTGCTATGCTCCTTCTAGTTTTCCACAATCACAAATGAAACATCACTTAAAATTGCTAGGTACAAGGGCCACTTGTGTGAGAATTTACACAGGCAGCAGCAGGCAACATCTTCCCACTAATCTTCCCCACTGGCTCTAGTTTCTTACCACTTGTCAATACATTGACATATTATAATACATGAAGGTACAAATCAAACATTATGTACACAATTCATTCTTCTCATACTGTCGGCTGCCCCAGTAAGTCAGCATTGTCACAAAATGAAATTGAATCTCAAAGGACTCAAACACCAAGTGGAATGGAGTATTAATGAGTAGAAGATCCACCAGAGTAATGTGTTAGGCCTTCTGAAGAAAAGAAAATGCAAATGACACCTGAGTACAGCACTAGTCTCACAATGACATGTTTCTTAGTAATTGAACAAAATATGTAACTATTCTCAGTTGCATTTCCCTCTCAGTCCTATGTTCATTTATTTGTGGAACCTAAAAGAAAAGTAGAGGTTTCACCCAACAGAAAAGGAGAGATATCACCCAAACACTCAACAAGATATACATACCCAAATAACTGGTTATTCAGTGAGTTCCAATTTACTAAGTAGGTTTCATGTAGTCAAAACAGTCAAATAGATTTATATATAGACATGATCTTTAATACATTTATATTAGTTATTAATTAATTTCACTCCAAATCATTGAGGCTTAATTTAAATGAACCCTTATGAAAAAGGTAATAACACTTACAAGCTTAACAAAATGAAAAGTTTGAACTGGGTGGGGAGAAAGGTTTTTGTTCATTGTTTTCTAAATTCTTAAACAAAAACCATAGACATGTAAGGAGGCTTTGGAAAATTTTAAAGCGAAAAGATCTGAGGAGGTTTTTGACCAAAAAAAACAAACCCAATCAATTTTAATGTAATGCCTAAGATCCAAGGATGTAATGACAAGAGAAAACAGAAGCCATTTGTGTAGTTTGAATTTAGCTATTTTTTCCTGAGACTTACTCTATTTGCAGTTGATGGGGTTAATGAGTGGGTCTGTTGGCCTGGTGGTTATATGATCCTATGCAAAAGCCACATGGCAAGAGAAACCATTCCCCATATGTCCTGATTTGGATCACTCCTGTGCTGTCTGCAGTAAAGGATCATTTCATCCAAATCTGTGGTCAGTGGCAAAACTATTTGTTGAACTATCCCAAAGCACAGAGCCTCACTTATTGATGAAGTGACAACTCAGGGGGCCATACAAATGGTTTTGTGTTTTTTTGTTTTTCCCAGGGAAGAGAAAATTAGTGCTGGAACTCAGGTGCATTCATTACGGAAACTGAAGTCTAAGATGTCACCACAAATATCATACAGTGAATGACTCCAAATCTGGAGGGGTGGAATCATGAAATGCAAGGGGAAATAATATTCTGGGATCCAAATACACAGCCAGAAATGGGCTTCTCTCAACTGATTTGTATGAGGTCAGAGCTTTGCTCTGGTATTTGAGTAGAAACAAAATCTTGGGAGTATGTTTCCTTTTTGGAAGTCCCCCCAGTTCTGCAGTACAGTTGTCTAGGACCAAATCTCCTTCAAGAAAATAAGGAGGGAAATTGGTTTCCAATTAAATGCTGAATGTACCATCAGAACCAAGCAAAGCTGCCTCCAACATTTAAAACATTCAAAACACTAAGCAATTTGACATACTTTTTCAAGGTGTTGGCCTTTTAGAAAGCCTGAGGAATGTTATTATAAGACACAAAGTGAGAAGCTTATGTACCATCCACCCTTTTTACCAGACTTAGAAGTTCCTCCCAGATTCTTTTAGGAGCAGAAGCAGAAGGCAACTGAAGGTGACATGAGGTGGCTCTACTCGTTTATAAGTTTAGGGTCTGTGATAAGGGCAGAAAACCATAGATGATGAAGGTACAGACCTTTTTCTCTGTCGTAATCATACTCAAGCTCTTTGCCAAGTTTAGAGGTTTAAGTACAAATGTCAAGCACCCTCTCTGAAATGTTGCCACCAAGAGCACTCCACACCTCCATCTGGAACTTCAGAAGATCACAGGCTTTTCATAAATCCCTGTATCATCCCACGAGCTATGACATCTCAGCAGCTACAAAGTCTAGGCCACTTGTATATCAGTCCGTTTTTCATAGTCTCTCCAGAGTTCCTTTTAACCTTTCTTTCATTGCCTCTGAGAAGAGCTGAGTTATAGACTCTGCTTATATATAAACTCTATTTATATAGACTCTAATTATATGAATAATTATTTCTTCAGGGGCTCTTGCAAATTAACACAAAATAATAATTAAAAATGAAACGAAATTGAGGATATTCTTAGAAAGGGTGAAGGACATGAAATACATTACTATCTGGGATTTCAACCTTTCCAAAGGTCAATAAATCCCCAAATAAAATGTAAATCCAAGGCTACCTGAGAATTCCATTTCTGTTGCATCTTTGTTCATGATGAGCATATGTCTTTTCATTTTGAGGACTTTTTAAAAGAGAAGAGTGACACACAATGCAACATGGACAAGGAATGAAAATTGCTTTAGACACTGCACTTTGAACATACAAACCTGGGAGGTGCCAGGGTCTGACACTGTATATTTCTTCCTTTGATCTGATTCTTCCAAACAGGATCCATGTACTGGCAAATTTCCCTAGTGTTCCCTGGTAAGCATCAAAGTAAACCACTGGTTGGCCTCGGTATTTCTACATTGGCTTTCTCCATTGTTTTTATACATAAAAAAAAAAAAAAAAGAAAACTCACTGGGCATTTTACATGTGGTTTCCATATTGTTCCTTAATCATTCAGTTTGAAAGTAAATCAAAGAGGAATGAAGAGTTAAAGTGCTTGAGATTGGGGTGAAAACTTCAGACTCCTGTAAGTCAACATTAATGTGTAGAGCATTTAATACAATTCTGGAACATCTGCAGGGCAGCTGTCTTACACAGACCAGGTTCTCAATAAGCTTTCATTATGTGTCACCACAGAATGGGAAACAAATATGTGTGTGTGAGTTGGGGAAGCAGAGGGTGGGGGGTGTAATTTGTAGGAAACCTAATTGATGTAACTTCCATTGAAAACAAGACAGATTATTCAAACCTATTCACAACAATATGATTATGAATACTCACCAGAGATATACTGAGTAATTACTGAATTAATGAATCAGGAAGGTTACTTTTCCCCCATGTACATTGGGAAATCAAAACTCAGTCAATTGTCTTTATGGCAGAACAAAACAACTATGATTCAAATATCCAACAAAGTTGGAAAAACCTGGCTTAACTGAGGGATGAGCTTATTGCATGCCTGCTCGGGTCACATGGGACATCTCAGCCCCTTTCCTCTCCCTCAATCTTGTCCCCTCTGTGGGCAGAAGCTCACCACTCAGCATCTCTTGTGCTTTTATCCTTAGGTTCCAGTTAGAAGCCATAGACCTCTGCTGCTTCTCCCAATTCTGTCTTCCTCTGCTGATCACACTGCAGAGTTGGTACCTCAGGCTGCCTACTCTCTGCTTTTAAAAGGCTTCAGAGAACCCTTCTTTAACTGTGGTCTCTGGAAATTTTCTATGAGATGTTGATTCTTATTCTACAAGAAGAGAATCTCATGGTCTAATGAATGTGTAAAACATCAAGTTAAACAGAGTTCTTTACTACAGAGCTTCTCGAAGCCTTTAATTTACCACTGTACATTATGGATCCAGGAGAAAAAGCAGATTTGGTCTGGCTGGGTCTTCCAGGGGTTCAGACATTTTTAAAACTCAGAAAATAGAATTGTTTTGTGTTTCTTCTTTCCAACCACTCAAAATATTTGAAAGGTTTGAGTCCGCTCCCTGTAATAACAAGGCAGTGCATTTTAGTCACCTGCAAAGCATCCTTCATCTTCTACTTAGAAGACACTGGGAAAAAATGAGAAGAAAACATTTACTCACTTTTCAGGAATCTGATATATTAATACCCAAGTTATTTTTACAAATTTGCAATTCATTGCTATGTTCATACTGGTTCTTTCTGAAATTACTATTTTTCTTTCATTCTTTTTTTAATTATACTGTTCTTATTTGCTATTATTAAAAAGAAAAAAGCCCCATTATCAGCTACCTAAAGAATGGCAGAGCACAACTAGGAAATGTCACCAACATGAAAAAGAAAGATTAAAATCTTCCTACCAAATACCTAGACTATGAGTCAATCAGGAGTTGAGCGACTTGAGTTTAGCCAGGCAGGGCTGGAAATGACTAAAATAAAGGACAACCAGGCTACTGATAGTAAATCACAGCTGGAAATGAAATTAAACTTTTAAGTTTAAGATTTTACAATTTGTTTTGGTGTGTTGGTGGGTGAGTGGTGGTGTGCGTGTATGTGAGTGGATAGGTATGTTACTGTGTAAAGGGTAAAGGTTTGGGGGTAAAGTTTTCAGTGGATAAGGAAACAAACAAGATTTAAAAATTTAGTTAAATAAATGGAGAGTGGAGAAGACATTCAGGTGGAAAAATACAAAATTAACTTTAAAAAAGAAACTGAGGGATCCAAAGGTCTGTAAGAGAAATATTCTACAACTGGAGAACATGTCTAAGACACACAAAACTTTATCACTATGCAGATTGTACACTATTTCTTATGCATCCCAATAAATGTGCCCAAAGGTAGCACTTTAAGCTGCACAGAAAATACCAAAGCCCAGACATATTTCAATGCCAGTTCCTGGGCAGGCTGGCCCTCAGGCAAAATATTCTGGAACACCTGGTTGGCTGGCAGATTTTCCTGGATGGCAGTGTTTTGGGACCAAACAGGCATTTATTTCAGCCTCTCTGATGCTTTCATATGGTAAAGGAGCAATCAAAGAATACTGGCTTTATTTTCTGAAGCACTGGTTTTGATCCACCTAAGAGGAAATGGCAGGGGCAGGGGATGGGAGGAGGGAAGGGGAGTAATGTGTTTCACAGCTTCAAATCAAACACTGTTGGAAAAAATGTCCAGAAAGCAATTCAGAGTGAAAATATTTGCTTTCTGGCTAAATAGCCAGTAGCTTTTTATTGCAAAATGGAAATAAACAGTACTGCTCATTTATACCAAAAAAGGGCAATCTACAAATAACCCAAATCCAAAAATAAAGGTATTGCCCAACAGACTAGGACATGATTCACTAAGGTCTTGACTTCAGAGTTTCACCAATGGTCATGGCACATGGATTAGAGTGGGCTGCGGTCGTGATTAGTATTAATAGTAAAAAGTCTCAAATATGCCCAAGTCCACACCCCAGAAGGATATGGGCCACAGTCTGTGTGATCCTTACCCTTCACTCTATTTATTGAACAGATGCATTCTCTCTCTCGCTCTCTCTCTCACCCTCATCCCATGCCCTGCGATGCTGAAGACCCATGTCCAGACCATATGCAGTGACCAAAATAAAAGAAAATCACACTGAAATGAACTCTATGAAATTGTTCTCTTTAATAGCCAACAGTTTATAAAAGAGAGTGAAAAAATAAATACAAAGCTAATAATGCTTACAATGAGGAGACAGAAGTTGGCCAAGAGAAAGAAAGAAATCATAATAGTATTCATTCATTCAATAATGCATTAAATACCTACTACACTGGGAACTGCAGATACAAGGAATAAAATATATCATCTGGTAAGAAATACGGGAATCAACAGATATATCATTCTAGATGTTCATGTATAAACTGATATTTTACATCCAAATAGCACTTTGAAGGCTTCAGAGACTTTTCAGCCACATATTTCACCTGATCCTCATAACATCATTTAGATATAGATCAGGCAGGTAATATATGACACTACAAAGTCAGAAAGGTTGATCTTCTTTCAAACATTCTGTTAATAAGGATGAGAACAGAGATTGAATCTCTGGATTCTTGTGCCACCCTCTATATATCTAGAAAATGAACAGTAATTTAGTAAGAAATCTTTCTGTGTCGAATCACTCCAAAAATAGCTGTTCCTCTGGATCCCATAGTCTGCACTAATTAGTGTATTAGAGCTATTTTTGGAGTGATTCAACACAATAAGATGACAATTATAAGGAAGCTTGTTTGTTAGCTTTTGATGATGACCAACATATATCATCTTGTTTGATGATGATTAACATAATCAAGCACTAAAGAATAAGCTACCTAACATCCATCCTTGAACTTTGTATGTAAACTGGAGTCTTCTCAATCCTCTAGAATTTGTCTGGGTCACTGCCATTCCAGAATCTACTCATGGTACCTTCTGTATCAGGCAGGTTTTATTCTCTGAGGTTTGGGCTCTAGTTTCCACCCACATTCACAAACAATGGGCACAGTCACGGAGGCTCTGAATGCAAAGCTGTGGACTCTTCTCAGCATTTTTGTGGTTGTCTTGGACATTCATAAGGATCCAAATGGACCGGGTACTTTGACTTAGCACCAGTCTCTACTTTTAAACTATTCAAAACATCCCTGTAAAACTTAGAAATGGCTCATGGCTAGGGTTGTATTAATCAACCTTGGGTTTTTAATAAATTCTGTTTGTTAGCATTTTGCAATTCTAGAATTTCACTTGCCCTTAAAGCTAAGTCATAAAGAATGGAATAATTCTAGACTACTTTTACTGCACATTAGATGAAAGACTTCCTCCCAGCAAACATATCACTATGTAGAATTAGTCACAGCTACTAGTATTAAAAATCCCAGACAGAATTTGGAAGTCCAAATTGTGAATTATTATCCGTTAGTTCATCCACTGAAATCATACTTAGAATCTACTATGTTCCAGGTGCTCTTCCAGACACAAGAGCCCCAAAAGTATGAAGACAGTCAAGCTCTCCACTTTCATGAGGAGGAAATAATAACCAAGGAAAAATATGCAAGATAATTACAGTTAGTGTGAGTGCAAAAACACAATAAAATAAGATGATATATGAAGAGTAGGTAGGGAAGAGGACTTTAGATCAGATGATCAGGGAAGGACTCGAGTAAGTGACATTGGAGGTGCACATGAGGTTACCAGCACTTGGAGATTTGGGGCAGAGCACTTTAGCCAGCAAGACCAGCAAGAGCCAAGGCTTGGGGTAGAACTGAGTCTGAAACTACACCTAGAGCATGGCAAACAAGGGGCATCGCTAGTCCAAGAGGTTAGAAGTGAGCTGTGGTAAAGAGATGAGATCTTTGTCCTAAGTGTAATGGGAATCCACTGGAGAATTTAAGTTAAGGTAGTGAAGTTATCTGATTTCAGCAAGTGGACCCCAGAACCCCTAAATATAGGAAAAGATGCTCTTTAGGAGGCAGTTGGCTTATTTTCCTGATGAATGGAAATGCTGTGTCTGAATAACTTGCAAAAGCAAAGTGGAAAATCTGCAGGTGCCACTCTTGAGTGCAGAGCCTTGCTATTTACTTATGGATCCCAGAGGTTTCTGACGTGGTCCTGGTATAAAAGATTCTAGGCAGCTGTGAAGAGTGAGTCCAGGGGTAGCCAATCCCGAGTTCTGTCTGGGCATGTATCACAGCCACAGTCACGGAGGCAAGTTTGTGAAGGTGGCTTAACACACAGCATGAGTATCCCAGCATCGTTGCTGAAATTGCTTCCTCCCTGCTGTCTCCCAGGAAACAGACTCACTGACCCAATCTTTTTCTGCATTTCTAATTTCTGCCATCAATGGCCAGTGATTATCTAAATGGGATTGCTCAAGTATGTCTTTACTGTATTGAAGATGAAATAGCAGCCACAAGGCATTTTTTAAGCATGAACTACCTTTAGTATAAAATAAACTATTTCATTTATTCAGCTCATCATCTGTTATCCTTAAACAGTTCCATATGCATTGGTTTATATTTGATATACAAGACTGCTGAGCCATAGCACCCACGTGGTAACAGCAGGCACACGTTTTAAACAAGCTTGATGTTACTGCCCTATAATATCCTGCCACAGAGCATTCTTTCCTAAGAGTACAATGCTCTTTGTGAATATCACCTCATTAATTCTGGGAGAGGCAGTGACAATCCCTTTCCCCGCATTTTACCCGTAAGGAAACAGAACCACAGAGAGATTCAGAGTGAGCCAAGATGATGTGCAGTTACTTGATGGCAGGATCACAGATAAATTCCTCATTTCATTTGAACTGAAGACTTTACATCCTGCCCCACCCACACGATGCCAATTCATCAAGCCCTAACGAATAAAGCTACCTAACATCCATCCCTGAACTTTATATGTATCCTGGAGTCTCCTCAATCCTCTCCAATTTGTTTGGGTCACGGCCATTCCAGAATCTACTCATGGTACTTTTTGTATCAGGCAGGTTTTATTCTCTGAGGTTTGGGCTCTAGTTTCCACCCACATTCACAAACAATGGGCACAGTCATGGAGGCTCTGAATGCAAAGCTGTGGACTCTTCTCAGCATTTTTGTGGTTGTCTTGGACGTTCATAGGGATCCAAATGGACCGAGTACTTTGAGTTAGCACCAGTCTCTACTTTTAAACTATTCAAAACAGCCCTGTAAAACTTAGAAATGGCTCATGACTAGGGTTGTTTTAATTAACCTTGGGTTTTTAATAAATTCTGTTTGTTAGCATTTTACAATTCAAGAATTCCACTACCTTATGTCTCAAAATAAAGTTAAATTTTAAGAAAGTATTTTCCATCTTGAGTAGCCTACCAGTTACTGTTGATGTCAATGATGCCAAATTTTTAGTGACTTGTTTCAGGTTTGATGAAGCTCATGATGACAGCTGTCTTTTGTGGCTTGTAGAAAAGCAAAGGAAATGCAGAAAAAAGACATCTGATCTGAAATTACTTGGTGGGTAAATGTGAATTTGATATCTGTGAGAAGCAAGTAATATTCCAGTTGTCTTCAGGTTATTTTCTCCAGCAATTTTGCACCATCGCTACATCTCTAATATCACTGTAGGTTGTCTTTCTCAGTGTGAAAAATAAATAATGAAAATCTCTAGGTTGGACTAAAGCAAAGGACAACAATGGGTCAGCCACATCAATCTCCCTTGTGCTCTCAGTTCTCCTCAAGTATTTCGTTTTCATGGCATTCCTCAGTCCACCTAACCATCTGGGCCCATAAACAAAAATATTCATTAGTCCCTTAACAAAGAAACCTTATTCACATGGTTCCAAAGCCATGAGTACATTCTCAATTTTTAAAATTTTTTAATTAAAAAATAAAAGTTGAATATATTTATGGTATACAACATATTTTGAAATATGTATACATTGTGGAATGGCTACATCAAGCTAATTATCACATGCATTGCCTCACATGCTTATCATTTTTAGGGGCTGAGAATACTTAAAGTCTACTCTCTTAGTAATTTTCCAGTGTATGTTGTACAACAGATCTCTTGAATTTATTCTCATAAGTGAAATGTTGCACCCTTTCACGAGTATCTTCTCTCTGCCCCCATCCTCTAGACCTTGGTAACCATCCCTGTACTCTCTACTTCCATGAGTTCAAAGTTTTTAGATTCCACGTATAAGTGAGATCATATGGTATTTGTCTTTCCATGTCTGGCTTATTTCACTTAACATAATGTCCTCCACGTCCATCTGTACTGATGTAAATGGCAGGATATTCTTATTTTTTTCAGGCTGAATAGTATTTCTTTGTGTATATATACCACATTTTCTTTATCCATTAATCCACTGATGCATTTAGACATTTAGGTTGATTTCACAGCTTGGCTATTGGGACTAATGCTGCAATAAACGTGAGCATGCAGATATCTCTTCAACATACTTATTTCATTTCCTTTGGATATATACCCAGTTGTGGGATTGCTGGATCATATGGTAATCCCATTTTTAATTTTTTGAGGAAATTCTGTACTATTTTCCATTATGGCTATACTAATTTACATTCCCAATAACGGTGTGCAAGAGTTCCTTTTTCCCTACATCCTCACCAATAGTTGTTATTTTTTGTCTTTTTGATAATAACCATTCTAATAGGTCTGAGATGATATCTTATTGTGCTTTTAATTTGCATTTCTCTGATGATTAATGATGTTGAGCACCTTTCCATATGTCTGATGGCCATTTGTATGTCTTCTTTCGAGAAATGTCTACTCAGGTCCTTTGTCCACTTGTGAATCAAGTTATTTGTGTTCTTGCTATTGAGTTGAGGTCCTTATATATTTTGGATATTACCCCTCATTAGATGTATACTTTGCAAATATTTTCTCCCATTCTGTAGATTGTTCCTTCACTCTGTTGTTTCCTTTCCTGTGCAGAAGCTTTTTCGTTTGATAAAATGTCATGTGTCTAGTTTTGCTTTTGCTGCCTATGCTTTGAATTCATATCTAAAAAATAATTGCCCAGACCAATGTCATGAAGGTTTCCTCCTATGTTTTTTTCCAGTAGTTTTACATTTTCAGGCCTTATGTTTAAGTTTTTAATCCATTTTGAGTAGATTTTTGTCTGACGTAAGACGGGGGTCTAATTTTATTCTTCTGCATGTGAATATCCAGTTTTCTGAGCACAACTTAGCAAAGTCTTCTCTCCCCATTGTGTGTTCTTGGCATCTTTGTCAAAAATCAATTGACCATGAATGCATGATTTATTTCTGGGATCTCTATTCTGTTCTATTGGTCTATGTGTCTGCTTTTATGACAGCACCATGCTGTTTTAGTTACTATAGCTTTGTAGTAGATTTTGAAGTCAGATAGTGTGATGTCTACAGCTTTGTTCTTTTTGCTCAAGATTGCTTTGGCTATTCAGGGTCTTTTGTGGTTCTATATGAATTTTAGGATTTTTTTCTACTTATGTGAAAAATGTTATTCACAATTTCATAGGGATTGCATTCAATCTGTAGATCACTTTGGGTAGTATGGACGTTTTGACAATATCAATTCTTCGGATCCATGAACACAGAATATCTTTCTATTTATTTGTGTCTTCAACTTTTTTCATCAATGTTTTATAGTTTTCAGTGTACAAATCTTTCACCTCTTTAAATGTAATCCTAAATATTTTTATAGCTATTACGTATGGGATCATTTTCTTGATTTCCTTTTTAGGTAATTTTTTTGTAAGTATATAGAAATGCTACTGATTTTCGTGTATTGATTTTTGTATTCTGCAACTTTACTGAATTCACTTATTAGTTCTAATAGATATTTGCTGAAATCTTTAGATTTTCTAAATATAAGATCATGTCTGCAAACAGAGACAATGAACTTTTTCCTTTTTAATTTGGATACCTTTTACTTCCTTCCTTTGTCTAATTGCTCTGGCTAGAAATTCCAGTACTATGTTAAATAGAAGTGATGAGAGTGGGCATCCTGGTCTTGAACCTGATATTAGAGGAAAAATCTCTGAACTTTTCACCACTGAGTTGGATGTTAGCTATGGGTTTGCAGTATATGGGCTTCATTGTGTTGAGGTACATTTCTTCTATACCGAATCTGTTGAGAGTTTTTAATCAGGAAAAAATGTTGCATTTTGTCAAATGCTTTTTCTGAAACTATTGAGATGATCATATGGTTTTTATCCCTTCTGTTAATATGGTGTATAACATTTATTGATTTGCATATGTTGAGCCATCCTTGCACCCTAGGGTTAAATCCCATGTAATCACGGTGAATGGTCTTTCTAATGTGCTATTGAATTTGGTTTGCTGGTACTTTGTTGAAGATTTTTGCATTTATGTTCTTGAAGCATACTGGACTATAATTTTCTCTTCTTGCAGTGTCCTTGTCTAGTTTTGTTATCAGGGTAATGCTTGCCTTGTAAAAAGAGTTTGGAAGTATTCCTTCCTCTTTGGTTTTTTGGAAAATATGAGTTCTTCTTTAAATATTTGGTAGAATTCATCAGTGAAGTCAGCAGGTCCTTGGACATTCTCATTTGAATGTTCCATTTTTATGATGTCATTCATTGAGCTACAAAAGAACCACTTGATACTAGTGTCCAAATTCCAGTACTTTAATGAGGTACACAGATTCTCACCTAAACTCTTTACATGTACACTACTCTTTAAAGATACTTAAAATAATCTTAAACTAAGTGAGCAGTGGATAGAATTGAGGTAATCCTGACATAGTCTACATACAAGTGCTTTCTTACAGCAAAATAGAAACAACAGAATCTGATTCTATACCTAGGTCTTGTTTCTTCAATAATCTTTGAGTTAATCTGTCCCAGAATTAATGCCTGTGCCATTGCCCAGAATGCTGAATGACCCTGGCCGATACATGTTGACTTGCTCAGAAGTCTCTTCAGGGGAAGCTAGCTAAACATGATCTGGGAGAGGACTACGCTTGAGGACGTATCAGGTCTCTACTTTTCATGTTTTTCTCTTCCCATTCTACTTTCCACAAAATATCCAGAGATTCTTAGAAGGGCCAAATGTTGAAGGTGGTCATGCACAGGCCTAGCTTGATTCCCAGCCAGGGTAGGAGTTTTCTAAAAATACTATCCCCATCAGATTCCTGATACTTATAAGTTTAAAAGTTGAACAAAATCTTATATACACAATGTATAATGAGTCTTAAAATGTTATTTCCTAGGAAAAGGAAATCTATGATTTAAAGTTAAACCAAAGTATAAATATGTGGTATCAGAGATAAGGAAAATCATGGTCAGAAAACCTGAGTGCAGACCTCAATTCTGCGACTTTTCCCCATCTTTGTGAATCTGGACAGTTTATATATCTTGAATCTTAGCTTCTTGGTTTGCAAAAAAAAAAAAAAAAAAAAGCATAATAATTAATGCCATGGAGATTTTATAATTAAAGGGAGAATAAAACTAATGCACCAAACTAATATAATCAATATTGCCAACAACGAATGATGTTTAGTCTTCATTCTTACTTTATCCATTAGCAGCATTTGATGTCCTTGACCCCTCTCTGATTCTCAAAACGCTTTTTTCCCTTGGCCTCCTGGATCCTACACTCTCCTAGGGTTTTATCTTCCTCCTTTGACTGGTTGCTTCTCAGTTTTCTTTATTGTTTCCTCATCTTTCTGGCATCTTAACATCTGAGTGTTCTAGGGCTCAGGAGTAGGAAATCCTCAGCAGAAGCAGACTGCAAAGTCAAACCTTTCAAGCATTCAGAACCAGCAAAGTCTGCCTGTGGGCAGACAGAAGAGCTGTCCACTATGTAGTGAGAATAAAACTCTACCCAAATGTAGATGTCTGCTAAACTCCAACGGTGAAAGGAATGGGATGTGACCCCATGATCAGGATTACCCAGAATAATCCTCACTTCAGTCTGGCCGACATCCACAAGTATCTTATATTTGGCCCACCTCGAACTGAGGAGGACTCAGACACATGTTACTGCCCCAGCCTGAGGCCATCAAAGAAAACATCTCAAAGATTCTCTTTTACCAAAAAGATTCATGTCAGATTTTCAGACTAAGGCCCTTGGTACTAATGAATTTTGAGTTGGAGTGGTAGCCTTGGCAAAATAATGATGACAATTCAATTTAGGCCTCCTAATATGTGGATGTTCCTGGAGGTGGAGGAAGAAAACTTGGACACAACTGGAATGTGTGTTAGACAGCAGAAATAGAGGCCATGACCAGCTTAGGCCCTAGGTTCCTGAGATACAATAATTCTTCTGAAATGGTGTCCTTTTACTCTGTCTTCCTAGAAGAACTCAGCTCTACAAGTTTTAAAACATTGCTGGGAAGAATGATCTCCATTTTAAATTCTGGATACACGGAGCTCAAGATGGCAACAAATCCAACACTAAAGAAACCGATACTCCTTAGGCACTTACTTTATGCCTAACATTGCTATGTGTGATTCACATGTTATCTCCATTAATCCCCATAATTACAGGGACACACTAGTATGACCCCCACTTTATAGGTGAAGAAATTGAGGCTCAGAAAATGGTTAAGCCACTTACTCAAGGTTGCCCAGCAAGTGATGGAGTCAAGATGAAAATAGGCAACCCGATTCCATAGCCCACATGCTCCATGGCCCTGGTGCTCCATGCTCTGTGCACAGACTGGCTGAGGCAGAGCTGCAACAGGATCCCTGACAGCTAAAGTTGCCATTACAATGATGATTCGTATCCTTCATTTAAATATAGATGAACACCACAAAATGACAAATGTATCTTTATGTTAAAGGTGTGTCCATTATGATGCAATAATTGGCCCTTTTAGCATTTTCATTGCCACGAATCACACATTATGTAACTATTACTAAGCTAATCCCACTAAAGCCTATTAATGTCAGAAAGACTTGGGTGTTTCACTACTAAACTGTCTCTGAGGATGTTTTAACACTTGTTCTTAGGCTGCATTTAATATCTGCAATTATGGGGAAAGGATGCCATGAAAACTATCCTTAAATCCTTTTTTATTTATTTTGTTTTGAGATGGAGTCTCGCCCTGTTGCCCAGGCCGGAGTGCAATGTCACAATCTCGGCTCACTACAACCACCTCCACCTCCCAGGTTCAAATGATTCTCCTGCCTCAACCTCCCAAGTAGCTGGGATTACAGGCGCCCGCCACCACACCCAGCTAATTTTTGTATTTTGAGTAGAGACGGGGTTTTACCATGTTGGCCAGGCTGGGCTCGATCTCCTGACCTCATGACCCACCCACCTCGGCCTCCCAAAGTGCTGGGATTACAGGTGTGAACCATAGTGCCGGCCAAATCCATTTTTAACACAACCAAACAAAACATCAACTTGATTGAGAGCTCCAGGACATTGATTGAGAGCTGTTGCCATATGTTTTTAGGCTCCAGTATATCAAGGCTAAAGTGCTCACCATTGCTAGAGGACAAAAACACACAGCAGCTGCTCAGCAATGCCTAAGCCTGTGGCCCAAGTCGAAAAGAATTAGACCAAGTATTACAGTAATCAGGCCTCAAGCAAGCAAAAGCCTGGCTCAATACTAAGAACCCCCTACTAATGGGGAGAGCACACCTCCATACTCCGGTGCCTGGGGAAACATTTCCCAGGAGTGTGGTGGTGTTCTGCCTGCTGGGAGATAGATACCATTAACCTCTCTTCTTACTATGTTTGAACTCCACTTGCACTCTTATCTCTGAATTTTGTCTTGTTTCCACTAAGTATTGCTTGCCCCTTCTTCTTCATACTCAAAAATATGGATGTAATATACCTGCCTCTAAGGCCCCTTTGAAAGTTCATCTTCACCCCCAAGTTAAACAGAAAACCCTCATGCATGTGTGCAGTCTGATTTCATCTTATGTGGCGCTCCTCCTACTGACAAAATATGTTCTCACTCTGAGAAGTTTCCCTGTGCCGCTTTAGTAATAAACAAATCCACCTGTGTTTGCATCCTAGGCGTTCTCAGTGTACCACACTTGAGCTCTGCCTCCCCGGTTAGGCATCTGCTCTGGAAGCACGAGGAATATTGCTTTCAGTCCTCTTATATTCCTGATACCCTTGACTTTGCAAGGCCTAGCAATACGCGGCACTTACTATAAATTAAATAAATAAAAATCCATTTAAGTCAATCAAACCAACAGCTCTCTGTTTCTCCTGTGAAATGGAGAGGCAGATGAGTAGCCCAGCATTCTGCATGGTTCCCCTGATGCACTCTCCCTGCCCACTGAAGCAGCCCTGCAGTTCCACCCAGTCATTCCCTGCTTCTCTGCACCATAGTGACGGGTCCACCTAGAAGGAAACTCCCTTTAAAAGTTGCTCCATTAAACTGATAAGAACAGATACTACACTTGATTTTAGCCAAGAGGATATGGAGAAATAGGAATGCTTTTACACTGTTGGTGGGAGTGTAAATTAGTTTAACCATTGTGGAAGACAGTGTGGCGATTCTTCAAGGATCTAGAACCAGAAATACTATTTGACTCAGCAATCCCATTACTGGATATATACCCAAAGGATTACAAATCATTCTACTATAAAGACACATGCACATGTATGTTTACTGCGGCACTATTCACAATAGCAAAGACTTGGAACCAACCCAAATGCCCATCGATGATAGACTGGATAAAGAAAATATGGCACATATATATCATGGAATACTAAGCAGCCATAAAAAAAGGATGAGTTCATGTCCTTTGCAGGGACATGGATGAAGCTGGAACCATCATCCTCAGCAAACTAACAGAACAGAAAACCAGAAACTGCATGTTCTCACTCATAAGTAGGAGTTGAACAATGAGAACATATGGACACAGGGAGGGGAACATCACACACCAGGGTGAGGGGCTAGCGGAGGGACAGCATTAGGAGAAATACCTAATGTAGATGATGGGTTGATGGGTGCAGCAAACCTCCATGGCTCGTGTATACCTATGTAACAAACCTGCATGTTCTGCACATGCACCCCAGAACTTAAAGTATAAAATAAAATAATTATAAATTTTTTTAAAAAGTTGCTTCATTCTGGGGACAAGAGACCACCAAGCTGTTGCATGTTAGAACAGACCTACTGGGAGGCAGTAGAGGGCACTGTGGACTCATGCCCATGACACCCCCAATAAGCACACCTATGGCAAAGAGGAAGTGCCTAAGTCCACAGGTCTCGAGTTTGTAGTGCGCATACCTCCTGCCCAAGTCTATTGCTGCTGTTGCTTAGCCCTTTCAATATTCTTTTCTTACATTTTGTTTTTCTTAACTGTATCAAAGCTTGTGAAAAATTCATATCAGTTATTTCAATTTTTCTGAAAGATTCAGTAAATCAGATATTGTTTTAAAACAATCATCACCAAAGCCACGTGGCTTAGTGAGGATTGTTTTAAAACAGTCAATGAGGAAGTTAGGAAATAATTCTTCATCTCCAGACTTAATTGACTAAGTCCCAAAGATTATTACCCTATATTATCTCTTAAATCACACCCCCTCTTACTTAGGACAGGAACATACCCCTGAACAACAGTGCTCAGCTGAGGGGGTGAACAAGGCTAAAACCCAGCCAATCACTGCTGGCAAGGCCTTGAGCCCTGGCTCCAGGCTGCACCTGCCTTAGGAAGGGGCGTCTCTCTACGACACTGAATGGCCTCCTGTGGATCACCACAGACCTGCTTTAACCACCTTAACTGCAACCACCTTGTTCTTGGCCCTTATTTATACGTTGACCACTATGACCATCTCCTAACACTCCTAGAGGTAACTTAAACTGCATACACACACATATATTCATAACTGAACAAGCTTTATGCATATTTACAAATTAAATGTGCCATCACTGAAATTCAAATTAAAAGCATTAATCAAATGTGACCAACATACTGTTTGACTAAAATTGAACCTCTTCTGCTCCAGGGAGGATAAGGAGCTGACAGCTATGTTACAAGATCTATCTAGTTTTGTACTATATAGACCATGTGTTATGCAATGACTCAATATCCAATCAATGTTTTCTCTGATAAAGTCCTTCCAAACTGTCTGTTGGCATCATTTGGCCATTATGAAGTTTATGTTTGTTTTAGTCTCATTATGTGGAAACAGTTAAAGCAGTCCTACTGGAACCCAAATAATCTTATGTTCAAATGTCTACTTGGACTTAAATCTCATTTTAGTACACAGGCAATAAAATAATGATCCCGATAATCCAGATCCAGATAATCCAGAAGGTGCTTATTGTAGTTAAACATAAACAAAAGTAAGCTAATTGCTAAATTTAGAGCCCAAAAGGGCCAGACCACCATCATACCTGAATTTATAGATCAAAAGAAACCAAGTTGAAATCCAACTCTTTCCTTACAGGTTTTAATATTAGATGGCTACAGGAGGACTCAGGCTTAGAAAACACCACTTCTCATGCTTATGGTATTAAGCCCTCCTTTCAGTAAATAAGGAAGGGGATATATCCTCCATGAGAAACTTAAATAAATATAGCTGTTCTTCCACTGACCTATATTTCCTATCAGAGAACACCAAATACTATGTAAATAGAAAATAACTCTACTGTTGAGATAATCTATAAGAGGGTCAGCAAACCATAGCTTTAGGGCCAAATCCAGTTCTTGCCTTGTTTTTGTACTTCCTGAAAGCTAAGAATTTTTACATTATTAAAGGATTATTAAAAATGAATTTATAATGGAGACAGTATGATAGGTCACAAAGTCTAAAATTTTCTACCCTGTCTATGTAAAGTTTTCCAACCACTGAACTAGATAATACCCTAATAAAGAATATTACCAATGAAAACTACATAGAGCTATTCATCATTTCTATGTAAATTCACTGTCAAAAAATGATCATCAGAAATAAGATGGACATATTTTACCATCCATGAACTTTTATTTCTTGGACTTCTATGTAATAAGGGTTCATCAGTGAATGTCCATGTAGAACATTTTTTGTCCAGTCAAGTCTAATGTGTTTAAACTGGCCAGTATTTGATAAGACTAACATCTTTATCACAGCCTCCATCCTGAACTGCTTGCCTTCATCCAACTCAAGCCCCATTACCTAACGTTTTCCTGAATGTTAGTCCTCCTGAGAGCTCAATTTGCCCTCTTTGGGCAGCATTGCCTTGATCACAAATCTGCTGCTCAAGACCCCTTTTCTGGCTCTGATCTCAATTTCCATTTGCAATCACTCATTTGATTATGCTCTTCAGAACAAACCAGGATTGTCTCACTAAGTCTAGCCCGTTCTTACAAGACAGTTCTTACTGTACTTACTGTACAATGCAGCTGATGAATGCCCATACTGGGATGAAGCCAGGCATACTGTCACCCAGTGACTTGGAAATTTAATACTCAACTGATGATGCCAGGATAGGAAGCCAGCCAAACTGGCTCAGTCAAAACAAAAATCTTCTTTCCTTTCTTTTGATTTTTGCTCCAAAATGGCTAATTCATTTGATGGGGAACTTGAGTTTTCTTTATAGAGTGAAATTGAGAAAGATAATAATTAATTTTGAAAATATATACAGAAACATTGGAGCTCTAAGGCAGTCTGAGGCAATGCCTTTTAACTAGGAGCCAGAGATCCCTATGACAATGCTTCTCAGTGTTTGGTCCAGCTCACTTAAACCAGAATTCTCTTGAGTGCTTATTAAAAATTTGGAATCCTGGGACTAACTCTCTAATATCTGATGAATCAGAATTTTTGAGAATGGAGTCCCACTATTATTGTGGTTGATAAAACTTCTGGACCAAGACTTAAGAGGCCAACATATGGTCTTTAGGGGATTTTCTTATCCACTGAAATTATTTGCAAAAATACATGATGGTTGATGGTTCGAAGTGCATTTTTCTAAAATGACCCTATTCATCTTCATCAAATTATCAAAGCAATCTATAGTTTGAAATAAGAATCACTTGTTTTAAAGGAAAATAAAATTGAATCAAAATACAAAGCTTAAATTTCTCTGAGCACCATTTCCTGCATGACTGGTAAGTCTTGCCTTCTCTGGGAAGCCATTCTTCCTTCTTGCCCATGTGCCATACAGCTCTTCATACATACCAGCAGCTTAGACCTCCAGGAATTTCCATTTCACCCAGGGAAGCAGCTTTGGTAACTTCTCTTTGAGATCAGAGCTCCCGTATGGTGAATCTGGGGTCTCAATTTACTGTTCTCTACTCTAAAGTAATTTGTATGAAGTGAATGATTGTCCATGTCTGGGGCCACAGGGCCTTTCTCATGGGCCACAGCTGGCCCCATCAGCTTCTAACACCTATGAGGGAAGCACAGCTGTGGGGAAAGTATTGGACTGTTCAGATTTTCCTCCTCAGTTGGTGAGGCCACTCACTTTATTTCTTTGCTCCAGTTCCTCTTTAGTGAAATAATTTTTTTAAAAAATCCAACTCTACTTACCAACCAAAGTTTATAAGAATAACAAACATTAGAGTGAGAAAGGTAGAGATTGTCCAGTTGCTACCTAACCCCAAGCTATCAAAGCTCAGTGAATTTAAGGGACCCTTGCAAAGTTTTCAGCTTGATAAAAACTGTAAGAACTGTAACATCATTTCATTCGATCCTCAAGATGCTCCAGTGAGAGATGCACTAGCTGATTTTATCAGATCATTTAGCTCTTTCCACTTCATTAAACTAGCTCAAAAAGGTATAATAAATATGCAATATCTTCGACAATAAAAGGCAAGTATAAATATAATGCACTGTTTTACTATTATCTCACCTGTGACTCTGAATTTGACTTCTGTTTCCAAATGGAAATAAAGACTCATCAGCCACATGGTGTAATAAACAGGAGGAGAGGTAGCCATCTCCCTGTGGAAAAGGACCCTTTCTTAGGCCACTTTCCTAAGTGCCATTGATTTGGTCACTCCTTCATTCCTCTCTGAGCAATTATCTGACCTTTTAAAACCTGATTTCTCATAACCAGGCTTCCTATCCACAAATCTTGCCTCAACCTTTTATGATATTTGCTTGAGGTAATACCAAACTTCCTTCCCAGAGTTCATGCCACCGGGCAATGTAGAAGGCTGGAGGAGAAATGAGGCTGACGTGGAATATAAAAGTCAAAAAAACAATGAGGCAATGTAGACAGACAAAATCTGACTTCACACATTCAACAAAACTTCTCATTCATTAACAAGCTGACAAGCTGATATTCTTGATTTAATATGTATGTCAAAGTAGCCACCTGCTTAAAGCCAAACAAGGCTGGAAAGAGAAGAAGTAACTGTGGGCTAAAAACCTTGGCAAAACTCAAAATCCCAACCACTCAAAATAGGATATTAACTTATTAGTCATGTGAGAAACATTATGTCTTCCCATAAGTGTTTTCCACAAACTGACTGGGGAATGTACACAGAAAAGGATAAAATAAAATAAGCATACAGACTATTAATAGTATAAACTCCATGAAGTCCTTAAACAGAGGATGCCGGAACATACTTCCCAAACCAGTGTGTGTCCCTAAAGAAAGTTCATATTAAAATCAAGTTGAGGCTGGGCACAGTGGCTCACACCTGTAATCCCAGCATGTTGGCAGGCCAAGGTAGGCAGATTACCTGAGGTCAGGGGTTTGAGACCAGTCTGGCCAATATGGTGAAACCTTGTCTCTACTGAAAACACAAAGAGTAGCCAGGCATGGTGGTGGGCACCCATAATCCAAGCTACTTGGGAGGCTGAGGCAGGAGAACTGCTTGAACCCGGAAGGCAGAGGTTGCAATAAGCCAAGACCGCACCATCGCACTCCAGCCTGGGTGACAGAGCGAGATTCCATCTCAAAAATAAAATAAAGTTGAATGTTTGAGTTTTTGGAAAGGACCCACTGTATATATTCTCCACTAATATCCTTGAAACTTTATACTGTCAGCTCTGTCCTCAGTTATTTTGAGAATGATTACCAGAATTCACTCCCTTTCCCCATCCTCCTCCCTCCTCCTCCTCCTTACCTTTCCCCAACCACAGATCTTGGTTTAAATATTCTTCACAAGACAAGCAAAATAACAAATACATTTGATGGATTTCATTCTGCTCCTAGACCTTGTGACATAACTGAGTTAAACATATTGCTAGGAGAAGCCAAAACTAGCAACAGATTTGTGTTGCTTACAATTTTTAAGTTCATATTGAATGCAGGAATGCTTTGTTATCCAGATTTAATCTATCTTAGAAAGTCTGCTAGTGAATTTATATATTGGGACTGTATGTTTCATTATTTTAAGTGGAAATAAAACAGCAATGTGTTCCCAACCCTTCTAAAAATTCCAACCAATTTCCCCCAAGCATCACTAAAACACTTTGCAACATCTAACTAACAATTCACCAATTGTCTAATTATTTATTACGTAATGTGCTCCTTAGTGGATATGTTTATATGCCAGACCAACAGTAATACACAGTTTTCAAATATTATTACATCTTCCTTCTACACTGCAACAAACATGTACTCTGATATAAAGGAATTATTAAACAACATGCTAAAGTTAGACAATGAATACAAATAACACGTAGCAAGAGAAACTAAAAAGTAAGGCAGTTTTTAAATAGTTGCTTACTGACTGAAGGGTTGCCCGAGCAAAATGTGACTACAACAGGGGCTTCTTGATGGTATATGAAGGTGAGCAAGAGTGAGCTAGTAAAAGAGAGACAGTGGGCATTTGAGTTCACCCATGTCCAAATGCAAGGAGCTGATGGACGGCCTTCTCCTCCTGCATTTGAGACCCCAGAAGTGGTGGTTATGGACTACCCTCTGAAGCTATAGACACACTAATACATAATCCCTTCTAACCTCTTACCAATGCATGGTCTTCTCTAGGGCTCTTGGGCTCACTACTTTCCTCACAGACTTTTCTACATCCTTAGAAGAATATTTGATTTAATAATGGGGGAAGATGCAAGGGGATTCAGAAGTGAAGTACTCCATGTGTCCACAAGTAGAGAAGAAAGATATTGGTAAAATCTAGAAATGTTTATAATCAACCTTAAAATAATATAATGGATAACACACACAAGAGTGGATTATCAAAACTGGGTTGCTCTACATTTAAGAAAAAGATTAATCCTAGAGACTTACATGTGCTATCTAGGCCAGTGAAGGGAATAGACCATTAAACCAGATGGAGGACTCAGTCAGTGACATTTGACCCTGACAATCACCATCATACATAATTTGTATTTACAGAAAAACTTATACTTCCAAAAATAACATTATCTTTCTGGCCCCTTAAAAACAACACTATCATGTGGGTAAGGTCAGCTAGTATTTTATCCATTTTAAATATAGACATTATATATTCATAAAAATTAATAGACTTGCCCAACCTTACACAACAAGTCAACCTAAGAAATAGGATTAGGATACCAGCCTCGACACCTAGTTTCATGCTACTTCTCCTACAAAAAGACAAGGATGGTCTCCTGGTAGCAGCTATACAAAGCAAAAGGCTTCAGGGTTGGTTTCTGCTTTTATTTTGTTGGGTGGCAAAATGTTGAGCCCTTTTGGGCATTCTGTTCTGAATCTGCCTATGGTAGATTTACCTCTGGCATCAAGTGACCTCTCACCTTCCTATGATTCAATCTTAAGAGTTGGTAGGAACAAAAAAAGAGAAAAGAAAAGGTTCCCTATTGCCAATAGTACCCGACTACTGTCAATATTAATTTTAATTAGTGCCTCAATATTATCAAAATAAAAATAATTTGTTTACATTTCTTAAAAAAGAAAAATAAAGCCGGGTGCAGTGGTGCATTCCTGTAATCCCAGCACTTTGGGAGGTAGGAGGATCCCTTGAGCCCAGGAGTTTAAGACTAGCCTGAACAACACAGCAAAACCCCAACTTCACAAAGAATTAAAAAATTAGCTGAGCAGAGTTGTGTATGCCTATAATCCCAGCTACTCTGGAGGCTAAGGCAGGAGAATCACATGATCCTGGGAGATGGAGGCTGCATTGAGCCATGATTGTGCCACTGCACTCCAGCCTGGGTGACAGAGTGAGATCCTGTCTCAAAAAAACAAGCAAACAAAAAAGAAAAATAAAATAAGAATGGAATCACATGAGAAAGGCTATTTTTTAATTTTATTGTGATGACTGAGTTCATAAAGTTTTCATATCTCCTTCAGATTTGAGATGGCATGAAAGGTTGAAGGTGCCATGCTTTAGATGTGGTTTTTCCTTGCCAGAACTCATGTTAAAAGTTGATCACCAAGGTGGCAGTGTTAGGGGGTGGGGCCTAATGGAAGAGGTTTGGGCCACAGAGGTGGATCCTCATGAAAAGACTACTGCCTTCCCATGGGGGTGAGGGAGTTCTTTCTCTTGGGGGAGTGGACTTGTTCCCACAATTGTAGACTGTTAAAAAGAGCCTGGTTTCCTTGGTTTTTCTTTCTTGGCATGTGATCTTTTTGCAGATGCCTGCTCTCATTCCACTTTCCATGGTGAATGGAAGCAGCATGAATTCCTCACCAGATGCAGCTGCCCAATCTTGGACTTTGCAGCCACCAGAATCATGAGCCAAATAAACTTCTTTTCATTATAAATTACCCAGCCTTAGGTATTGTGTTATAGTAACACTAACTGGTCTAAGACAAATGTCAGTAATAGCAAGTCAGCCATAGAAAGCACAACAGTAGTCACAAAATTTTCCCACTTAAAACCCTGTGATGACCACCCTCTGCCTAGAAAATGAAGTTCAAAATTCTAAGTACAGGCATAGAAAATCTCACCCTCCCTGACTTTTTCAGTCTTGTCTCCATCTAGTTCCCAACACATTTTATGTTCTCGGCTATGTCTCAATGTTCGTACACCTCTGAAGATTCTAGGAATGTCACATGTAGCTTTGTTCTTGGTTTTTCCCTCTGCTTGGAATGGTCTTCATCACATTATACATCTGTCAGGGCCTTTGTTATATTTAAAATTCAACCTCTGTGTCACTTTTTGGACTTCCCATAGTTTCCCTCATTGCAGCATAATCAACATCCATTTTGGTTAACCACACTTCTTTGCGGCTTATTCCTTCATCATAAGATTGTTTATTTATATGTCTCAACCCTCTATCCCTCCTCACATGGATAATGATCTTTATGCAAGTGGGGCCACAACCTACTTATCTTTATATCCTCAACCCCAGCACAGAGGCTGGGCCATTTTTTTTTTCCTAAATGCAATGAACCTAATGTTCCTTTTATTTGATTTTCTATAATTGTTTTGGGAAGAAATACCAGTGGGATCCACAATTGTGGACCTTTATGTATTGGTTCAACAAAATCAGTTATTAAGTATATGTCAATAAAATCAATGTCAAAACAATGAAAAGCCAAAATCAATCTGGGTATTGCCAACTCGTGCCTCGTGGAATCTTACTCTTCAGCGAGAAGCACCAGTTATTGCTGGTCAATTGGTCTACAGTCGGGGTAAGGAGAAGTTCTTCCCAGTCACTTTGAGTATGAACAATTATGGCTGCAACTAAACTCTAGCCCTAGGAGAACATTTTTTTTTTTTTTTTTTTTTAAGACAGAGTCTCGCTCTTTCACCCAGGCTGGAGTGCAGTGGCAAGATCTCTGCTTACTGCAAGCTCCGCCTCCCAGGTTCACGCCATTCTCCTGCCTCAGCCTCCCCAGTAGCTGGGACCACAGGCGCCTGCCACCACGCCCGGCTAATTTTTGGCTAATTTTTTTGTATTTTTAGTAGAGACGGGGTTTCACCATGTTAGCCAGGATGGTCTCGATCTCCTGACCTCGTGATCCGCCCGCCTCGGCCTCCCAAAGTGCTGGGATTACAGGCGTGAGCCACGGCGCCCGGCCTAAGGAGAACATTCTTGAATGTACATTATGTCAGATCACTAAAAAAAAACAAAAGATATAAGATACAAAATATAGACACTTTTGTCCTCTGCTTTGACAAGACTACAAAATGTAAACAAATGCAGAACCCCTCATTGCTACGACAACCTCTAATGATCTATCCCTCTAAAGATCATGCCAAAGATACTCAAACCCTGAAGCACAGGAATTCATCTAGGGTCCAAAGTCAACATAGAGATATGGTTCCATTTGAATGAGAGATCTAAAAATGCAAATTATCTGGAGCATTTTTCACATAGTTTGTGATATACTTCCCCAGCTTATTTTTGGCTTTTGTTACAAGAACTTAGGGAACGGCCCACTGAGGGCTCAGGCATAGACAGATGCCTTGGAATGTGCCTGCACAGTGACAGAATTTCTGACAAGTCAGGATCTCTAACACTGGAAACAGGGTTCCTACTGATTCATTCACTCCTAATATAGCTCCAGGGGGTTCCTACAGGATCCCAAAGCCCCCCACTCCCTCCGCCACACTGCAGAGTTTAAGGATATGCCCTCATAGCTACATAGCTCTGACCCAAAGCCCTTCCATGTGGAAAACACTAATCCAGCTAGTTGCCATGTTTCTCTCACTGGGATGTGTTCCCATTTCTCCTCTTGTTTAGTGTTTTAGAAGATATGAGAAGGGTACCTGTCTTTGCCCTGGGAGGAAGACATTTTTGTAAATGTCAAATGGACATTTGATAGAAGAACTTATTTAAGGAATCTTGAATTACAAGCAAAGGGGCATGTGGAGGGGGAAAGATGAAATCATCTACAAGATTTTAAAAGTGAACCAACTACCTGAATTATAAAATATTATATATATAAAAATATTTAATTATAAAATGTAATAAAAACTTATTACAGCCAGACCTGGTCTTTGGAGAGGGATATAATCCGCTGAAATGGAGAATGATCACCCACTTTCTACCCACAGATTAACTGCATATTTCTTATGAATATGCAAAGTGGCTACTCCATACTGCCTGTATGTGTAGCAGGGAATTGATATTTGCTACTTTGAGGAGCCTATTTTGATCACAGTGATATGTGTACAACCTGAGTATACTCAGATATTGACCATTCCAGAAAGAAAAGAAAATACCCTTGATGTCTCTCCTAAGGGTCTCTGCTTTTTCAGAATGAACTTTATTTTGACCGATGAGATGTTCTTTAGTGGGCTCATAATGACTGAGCACCACATAAGAGGATCAAAGCATGGTTCAGCTAGTTCCCTGTGGCTATTGGTCCAGTGGTGGTAAAAGTGAATATTCAAATCAGATATTTGAAAAAATATCTCAAATCATCCAGAAATCAAGGAAATGATATTTCAACAGAATAATTGTGTAGGCAGCAGAGCACTGAATCATATCATTTATTTTGACACAAATTATATTAATATATTCATATTAATATATTATTAATTATAAAAATGTTTAATATATTAATAAATTATATCATTTATTTTGACATAAATGTGGTCTCTTATATTGACCTAATTATCTCAAGTGTATTTTGATTTTATTTTCTTTAACAGCACTAAACATAGTACTGGATGGTGTATTTATTTTTTAATTAATATTTGTAGAAATAAATTAAGCTGGGGCACATTCTCAGGAGAAAGAAAGGGGTAGCACTCAACTGGGGCTCATTCTGGTGCCTAGATTTTATTTGGCTCTCACTTGCCTTTGGATTTTGCTCAAGAAGAACAGGGAAAAGAAGAGCTATGTCAGTAATTAATATTCCATAACCTAAAGTAACTGAACTTTAGCAGAGAACTAAAATCTGTGCTTAGAGGATTTATCTAAAGGTGTTTTACGGGCAGATGGTGCCTTCTACATCAATCTTCATAAAATTAGAAGTACAGTGATTTCACCCCCTGGAATCCAGTTCACACTTTAAAATCAGACAGAGCAGGATGCTAATCCCAACCCTGCACTTGCCAGCAGTGTAACATCATACAAGTTGCTAAAGCCTTTTAGGACTCAGTTTTCCTGTATGTGAAATGGGAGGAATGATGTTTCTGCCTCCGGCGTGGCTTTGGAGGATTAAAAGAGATAGTACATGTAATATACTAAGCACCTATCACATAATAAATACTCAAGTTAATATCATAATTATTCTTAAAGCCAACTAAAGCCTTCAGTCCCAAACTTGGTTTAGTTTACTGATCACAAGATGTCCAGGTGCTGACCTGGGTCTGGCCTGTAGGTAAGGATCTCATTGTTGATTTCATTCTTCTATCTCTCTCGACTAACACAAGATCTTACTAAGGTGAACAGTTACTAGTAATTATAATAAATGCAACAGGCAATACAAATAAGTGTCCAGATTATGAAGGAAACACTTATAGAAGCCTTGAAAGACTTAATTACAATAAAGCAAAAAGTTGTATTCAAAACTGAAATCTAAATTATTCCCTAATCTACTGGCTTCTCAGCCTCCAAACATGACTATATTAATAAACATTGTAGACTGACCAATTCATACATGAAAATATTAGCTTCTGCCTTCACTATTTATAATGTTTAATTGTTTTGTTAATGCACACAAATGGGACATTGATCCATGAAATTCTGTTTGATATTTGAGTATATCTGATGTTATAATCCCAAATCCCACAAGACATATCTGCTTTGCCCCTGAGGGTGTACTGCCATGTAAAAATGCCCAGTATTCACTCCTCACTTTATCTTCCCAAGATTTCCTCCAAGGTGGGCAGGACTGCCCTTATGAATATGCTCAAACAGAACTCTAAAGGAGACTGTTTTTCTCTCGACGAACCAGCCTGGGTTTCCATATTCCTCTCACCTCACACTTGGCATCTGCCCACCCTCAGGTGTGTCCTTCCAGGAGAACGGCTTGGAAAACTACAGAGAGTAAATGCCTTCAGCTGAATTATCAGCCAACACAATCTGAATTTCACATCTGGAATACCTTTTTCAGACCCACCTTTCTTACATACCACAAGGAATAATAACTATGTCTGAGTTGTGCAAAGAGAGTAATAATGTGTGAATTTTTTTTAAAATTTCATAAGCAGAAGGATTTATTAATGGATGAATGTATTTTCAGTCTTCCCCTCCTTCCCAAGGGTTCTTTTTTTCCACTGGCGCTTTCTTTACTACACTTAATTCTACCTATCATAAGTTAATTGGCCCCAATCCATGGACAATAATACAAAAAATGTTTTTTATATTACATTTTTATAATGGGAAAAAAATGCTTTTTAAAAAACTTTTTTTTGTTTTGTTTTGTTTTGTTGAGACAGAGTCTTGCTCTTGTCCCCCAGGCTGGAGTGCAGTGGTGCAATCTCGGCTCAATGCAACCTTGGCCTCCCGGGTTCAAGTAATTCTCCTGCCTCAGCCTCCCAAATAGCCGGGATTACAGACACCCACCACCATGCCCAGCTAATTTTTTTTTTTTTTTTGTATTTTTAGTACAGATGAGGTTTCACCATGTTGGCCAGGCTGGTCTCGAACTCCTGACCTCAGGTCATCTACCTGCCATGGCCTCCCTAAATTGCTGGGATTACAGGCGTGAGCCACCACGCCCGGCCCATAAGTAATTTTTAAAAGCATGTATAGTCTTGGTTTTCTCTTTGACATTTCCATGCCTCTCCCGTTCCCCTTTGCATCTCATTGGTGCCATTCTTAAGCTCCATCAAAGGCTGCCATCCTATGTCCTATGTACCTCGTTCCCCAACAGAGGGGCAAACCTCTCTTTTCCTGGACTCCACACTGAATTTCTTCTGTAAGCTTCAAGAAAGAATTAGATCAAATTCAGTTAAAAATATTGCCATCTCCTTTGAAGCTCTTTTGGAAAAAAAAAAAATTTATTTAAAAACTTACAATCACTACCCAGAAATTATACTTTTTGAACTCTTCTCAAGGTCTGCCTGTACCTTGATGGATTTCTCTCAAATGGTGTCGTATCATGCTCTCTTCTCACGTGCCACATTATTTAGAAAGAACTCAAGTGTTTCAGGAGAAGAGAAGTGCTCACAAGAGAATGAGATTGAGGAAAGCACAGCTATATTTTTACCATCGTCACCCAAACCCCCAAATTGATGAGCTAATCTCTCTGTCAGACTTAGCTCATCCATTACTGCTACATGTTGGGTGTTTTTATCTCCAGCCCCAGGACACTGGGTTGTAATGGAAGTACCTCTGCCAAGAGATACTGATAGACAGAAAAGAGGTAGGACCAGGCAAGCAAAGCCCCTATCTGATGAGGCAAAGTACATTTTTGGCTCTAATGTTATTGTATGTAAAGTAGGTCAAGAAAGTTATGTGAATTTTAAGACAGAAAAGGAGATGTGTTTACACTGGTTTATGACATGGCTACCAGATGCAACTTGTTCCTGTGGAAGGGAAAGGAAGAAGAACCATGTCTCAGTTTAAATATTTGACTGGTTCCTCCAAAAGCTGTTAAGATGACAAAGAACTAGGAAAGCGCAGAGGGAAAAGACAAAGAGAATTCTAGAAACTTACTCCAGACTTGGAAAGAAGTGTCTAATAAAGGGGGAAGAAAAGCATCTCAGCTTGCAACAGCGATTCATTCCTTCTCACAGGCTCTCTCTCCTCACTTCCCCATCATCAGGCATTGTGTACGTTTTTCCTATGCCCCATCTGAGAGTCTCCTTATGATCAAGTCACTGGATTTGACAATATCGTTACCTGGACAACTGAGGTATGGAAAACAGAGCTGCAGTTCAGATAAAGCTTCAACAGAAGTTCTCATTGTTCTCCCAGTTAATGTCCACCACCGTACACACAGTAGTTCAGATTACATACAGATTTCCATTCTAAATGAGCTCCTAATTAAAAATAAAGCCCTCCCTCCATCTGCTCATAACTCTCACAAACCTTTTTTTCCCTTTGAGCTCAACCTCTCAAGCTTTGTCTGTGCCCAAATGCAGATTACACTGTAAAGTCTGCAGTGCTTTGGCATGAGGTAAGAGTGACAGAATGTATTTTTTTAACTTGATTCTTTTAAAAAAATACAGTCTTTGAAAATAAATAAGGTGAAAATAACTTTACATGCTACCTGCATACTTTGCATGTTACGAGTTCAGAAGAACAGCTCTTTGTCCAAAAACTCCGTCAAACAGGAAGGCTCAAAGCTGATTTTGACGCACATGTTATCTATTAAATTTGTAATTGCAAAATGTCCAACGTGACTCGAAAGTGTGAAAAGGTCATTGCCCAACCATGTGGTGCTGCAGCTTGTATCTGATGGGGAGAGAGGGGTATATGTGAAAATTATGAAGCAACTCAAAACGGTTTAGGCAGAAGCAGCTTTTGTCCCATACATAGAGAGAAGAGCTTTGTACATACCCCCTTGAAATTGCAGAAATTTGACTTTGCTCAATACCACAGTGACAAAACTTGGACATAGGGATTTCCCCTTTTCATCTGTGCAGTTGGTTAACTTTCTATGCATTTTGTTTAAAATCAAATATTAAAAATTCCCTTTAAAATATGGTAAGATCTTCTACTTCCATCCTCTGCTCCCCTCCAGAACCCACCCCTTCGTCCAAAAGGACAAGTCAAGACCAACATTCACAGGAAAGGTAACTTCCCTTGTGAACACATAACATGATGCCCATAAGCACAGAGCAACTCTGGCTGCTGGAAACATTTCCACAGCATTGCAAAGACCTGCTTCTCTTTTCATACTTCTCTCCCAAAGTTCAACTATATCTTCTTTTCAAGTGCTCCTCCTTGGAAAATCCTACATGTTTTGAGGATCTGGCAAGCTACCTTTTTATGCATTTATTTCACCTATTATTCTTAGGGTAAACTATAAGAGTAGTTCCTCCTAGGAAAGGGACTGCATACGGTCCCCTTAACTCAGTCCCTCAGACTCTCAGGGTCCAGGGCTGTACTCAGCATTTGAGTTAGTCTTAGAACTAAAGCAAGCCTGTGTGATAGCTCAGATGGCACCAGTCCCAGGCATCCTCACCTGTGCTGTCTTGGGAAGGCCTTTCTGGAGGCCGGACTGCACTCCGGCTTCCTGGGAGCATGACTCTTGACTTAGGACAAGCAGTGACAAGTGACACAGGGCTTGTGCATTCCTCCAATAGGGCTACAGTGCCAGTTGGTTGAGGTCAACCTAATCTTGGCCCACAAGACTTTGAAAGTGAGAAGAGTAGAGAAGATATAGCCTTCTTTTCTGAGGACCCAGAATCCCTATTCCTTGTATTCGTTCATTCTCCAGCATTGCTTATCAAAAATAGAGTCACTCCATCTTCAAAAGAATAACTTGCAAGCACAAAGCAACTTTTGAAAAATAAATTGCCCTCCTCCAATTGAATTCTTAGATTGATGTTATTTTCTTGGAGAAGAAGTTGGCAAAGTTTTTATTCCATGAAACCTCAACTCATCCAAACCTCACTCAAGGATAGTATGAGTGTTTCTTCCATCACCTAAACCTGCCCATCCAGACAGGTTCTATGCCAGGCACAGTGAATGCCACCGTGACGGTTAATGTGACAACCAGGACTTCTTGGGATATGCCTACTTGTGAAAGACAGTGAAAAGACATATAGCACAGAATCATAGATTTATAAAACCAGAAACAAACAGCAATGGCCACCCAGAAGAGTCCTTTTCAGTCATTCCATCACGGCGCTGAGTTTTGAAAGGTCTGTGTGGAAAAGAGTTTGTCGTTGACTGGGCTGGGATAAACCTGTGTGTGTGTGGGAAGCTGTTCTACAGAAACATTTTAAAAATGGAGTTTATATTTACCTGCATCATATTTTAATTCAAATAAAAGAAATATAAGCACCAACTATCAAAAATAATCTCTGGGTTTGCTTATCCACCTGCCCTGTTGTTCCCAAGCTCCCGAAAGCCCTTTCAGCTTTACTCAACCTGTGCCTCAGTCTGGCTATGACCACCCAGTAACACACTGTACCCTTTGCTGACTGTGAGCTTCGCTATACCCAGTATCGTATTCCAAGACCCTATTCTCCAAACGAAATATATCCCATTCTAAAAAAAACCAGTTCAAGTTTGCTTCTTGCAGGATGACTTTCTTAACTTCATAAGGTACAGATCAAATGACAGTTACATGTCTCTCCTGCCATTTGATTTCCAAAACAGGTTTCCCATGAATCCCCAGCAAAGCATATGGCCCATTCAGAACTTATTTCACATGTAAACTGTATTAATATGCAACTCATTCTAGTCGAGATTAATAGGTTAGAAGCAAAGGCACAAAATCTTGCTTTTCTTTCCTTAGCATCTGTGGATGTAAATATGGTTACTGTGGATGGAAGATGGGATGAAAAAAAGGCAACAGACTGAAACTCTGTGCTTGCTGATCTGTGTCCTGGGATTAACTAGATATTTGGCCTTGGATAGTCACTTCCTCTCTGTGAGCTTCCATTTCTTCATTTGTTATGCTATGAAGACTGAGGTATATGATGGATGTATAATGGCTAAGTCCGTAACAAAGTTCTATGAAGAAATTATTTCATTCATTTATTCCAGAAGCATTTTCTGAACACCTATGGTGTGTTTGCTTCTATGCTTGGTTCTTGGAACACAGCTTTGAAAAGACAATTAGAAAACTCTCTCTCTGATTTTATGTGGCTTACAGTCTAGCAGACATCTAATAGTCCATTAACATACCCTGTATTAGTCCATTTTGTGTTGCTACAACAGAATATCTGAGGCTGAGTAATTTATTTAAAAAAAAAAGGTTTGTTTGGCTCACAGTTCTGCTGGCTAAAATGTCTAAGATTGGACAGCTGTATCTAGTGAGGGTCTCATGCTGCTTCTTGTTATCTGAGACAGGGTCTCGCTTTGTCACCAAGACTGGAATGCAGTGGTACATTCACGAAGCACTGCAACTTCCGCCTCCCAGCCTCAGACGATCCTACCACCTCAGCCTCCCAAGTAGCTGGGACTACAGGCACAGACCACCATGCCCAGCTAATTTTGTTTTGGCTTTTAACATCGCAGTGATTATCTGCATCAAGCTACTGAGTAAGGAACTACAGGGCTGGGAAGCCTGCATGTAGGAGGGAGTTGATGTTAGTCCAGGCAAACTCCACCGGTAAGCCATATGGCCTTCCCTAGCTGCAAGGAGAAGGCTGGGGGGTCTCATCCAGTTACATGCCTAGGAAGAAGAATAAACAGTTTTCATGAAAAACTAAACTAGTCTCTACCAGAGGGTCAGGAGAACAGAAGAGATGTGAAAAAGAAAAGGAGATTCTAAAGAACAGAATTTAGGGAAGGCAGAATTCACATAAAGGCAGAGAGGATGAAAGAGGAAACAGAAACCAGGGCAACCCAGCAGCGTTCAAAGCGACAGAACTCCGAGTGATTTTTGCAGGCATCGTGTGAAGTTCTCACCACATGCACAGCAACAAATAAGGTGAATCTTCCAGAGGATAATGGATCATCAGAGAGTACACAGCGATCCGTGGTAGCTAAGGCCATCAGCACCACAGGAGATAAACTGATAACACAGTAGCTAAAAGCCCCTAAAATTAGGCCCAACAATTTCAGTTCAGCTAAGATATTCATCAAAAAGTCTGCATTCCTGGTGCAAACCAGTTTTATGAATTGGTGGCTGCGAGCTGCATTCAAAAGTAGGTTGGATGTTTTTTGGCCAATAGCATGATTTAAACATTGGAAAAAGTCAAATGAGCAATGCGAATTTTTATGTTCTCTTGAATAATCAAAAGAGTAGGCAACATTGGTTCCTCATTCTTGAATAGCATTAATCAGAAAATATTGCATAGCCTCTAGCCTCCTTAGAGTAGGTGTGCTCTCTCAAATATATCATAGTCCCACAGTTTATTTCATGTATATTTTCTGCCTGAATCACATAGACATTTGAATTTGCAACGCCTGATGTAAATATATAAATTCTTACCAATCAGAAACATAGCAAGAATTCAGGGACTTGGTCATTATCAGGGTATGACAGCAATCCCTGTAGAACACTGATACACACTCACACACGTATGCAACGTGAGATGTCGCTTTATGTTTACTCAAGCATCTGTTTTCTGTAATGAATTATGAATTATTTTGAAAGCAGGGCTCAGAGTACTTGGCCCATAGTAGGTGCTCAGTTAAGGCCATTACAGCAAGTTTATAACCAAAGGAATCACTTGAAATGATAATCAAGAGAATACTGCAAAAGGTACTGAAGTAACACCCCTGACTAGAATCAGATCCTACCAACTGTCTAGATCCAGAGCCCAGGTAGAAACTGATACCCCTGAGTGTGTCAGTGTACATGCTTACCAACACAGCAGAGAGAGAAAGAAAAACATGAGGACGGGAGACAACACATGAAAGATAAATGGTGACAAAAAGGACTACTAAAAAAGATTTAAGAGGTCATTGGCAAAGGTAACCTTGCCTGAGCGGTGTCCTGCCTGAAATGGTCACTCTGGAAGCTGTGGGTGAATAAGCCATTCCAGCATCACTCCTCCCCAACCCCATCGAAAACCTCCAAAGATCTAGAGACCTGTGCAGCAACACTTAGAGGTTCCCAAAGAGACCAGAAAACACCAATGCCACCTATTGGAGGAAATTCCTTAAGTGGCTTAGCGAATGGTTTCATTAACCACTACTTATCTACATTGTAGTTAAGCAAAGTTTGATTGGGTAGAATGGAATTGAAAGGAACTGAATTGACTTTACTGAGAGCAACTTAGGTAGCAGATATCCTGGCCCTCCATAAGCTCTATGCAAAGGGCTTGCCCCTTCAGAAGGCACCAGGAATTACCCAAATCAATCAAGTACATAAACAAGTCTCACAGGGATGATTAATCCTTGTTGAGAAGATGCCACGGGATAAATGATGTGCCAACAATTCTACGGGAACTCTAATAGTTAACCATACAGGGAGACAGAGGCTCTGACATGGGCTGCCAGACCAGGCAGATCGGGAAATGCTGGCAAGGTAGCTGGTAGGACCAGGCATGTCTGGGCTCAGCACAAAGATGTTAGCTTAGCCTCCTGATATTTTTCTTGGACAATAATGAAAGTCTTGCTGGATGTATCTTTCTATTCCCTGTCATGCTAAAACTCTCCTTTTGACTCTCCTAGTTTTCCAAAAGGAAGAGAGGCAAAGTTGCTGTTTTCTGACCTTTTCTGGGAAAACTAATGCAGAGTCCTGGTCATTTTCAGGATCTGACAGTAGTTTCACTCATTGATTCAATCAAGGTCTATTTATTGGCAATCTACAGCAATGTAAGTGTTAGATGTAAAGTAATAATAAAGATGTGGTATTTACTCTCATAGAGCTTACTCTCTATTTTGGGAGAAAGATAGTAAATAAGTACACATATATCTTCACTAATTGTGATAAGTGTTTTGCAGAAAATGAGTATGGTGTGTGTGTAGAAAATTACAAACCATGCTGGTAGCTTAAAGGCTTTTAGAAAAACACTAAGACCTGAAGGAAAGAGGGATCTGGCCAGAAGAGCAGCTAGGAAGATTGTTCCAGGCAGGGAAGCAGCCTGAGAAATCCTCAGGAGTCTGGGAGTCCACCAGGAGAAAACACCAAGAGCCTGACCCCAGAGCAGATGTGCACACTTGAGGGTTGCACAGCCTGGCCTGAAAGTGAACTGGAAGAAAAGGAAAGAAAATTAATTTGAGGCATGTATGTAACCCTCAGGTGTTAGGGTCCTTCATGGGTTTCTGGGTAAGGCAGAATGGCACAGAGCCAACCAGAACCCATGATCAGCTTACCCTCACATAGAAAAGCCACTGTGCCTGCTCAAATGAACACACAAAGCATCCTTCTCACGCCCAGAGGAGAAACATGGGTCAGAACCAGCCCTGCTGGAGGCAGCTGGGAGGATTTTTGTCTTGTTCCTCACACAGCAGCCAGTCACAAGGTGCTCAAACGGAATTTAAAGGGTGCTGGCTGCGCTGTGGAACAAATGCTCACAGCTAGAATCAGCAGCAGGGGTAGGCAACTGGCAGAAGCACACCTGCCCACGGCTGGCCCAGCTGAAAAGTTTAGGGTAGGAAATGGGTTTGAGAGCCAGGTAGTTTATTATTGGGTCACAAGTTCACATACGAAAAATATAAACAGACATCCAGACCGGGAGGCTTTTAACAATGGACAAGGTTCATCCTTTTGGTCTGGCAACCTTCAGAGGCATCGTTCTGAGCCATTTCCTTTACAGTCCAAGGAGACTGAAGGGAGAGATTCATTCTCATTGCTATGATTATCTCCTACGTAGATGCCCTCAGGCACTGGATGTATTTTAGTTTTGTTCTATTAGAAGTAAATAAATTTGTTTAAGGGTAATATAGCATGTCAAAGGGTCACCTATGTGGTAATTGCAGGCCAATAGGATCAGGTCCCTTTGAAAAAATGTTAAGGAAGGCCTTTCTAAAGGGTAGGAGGTTAGGGGGATACCTTGAAAAACTCTAAATCAACAGCTTATTTAGTTTGGCATTTGCTAAAAAGCACTGACTCTCTCTGGCAAAATTTGGACATAAATTCAGTGTTATTCATGTACAGATTGAGCCGAGTAACTAAACTTAGACCCAGAGCTTTCCATTCTCCCTGATTTAGGTTTTGTTGCAGAAATAGAGGCTCATGACATGAGCCAGGGTGCACACACATATCCAGCCCATGTCATTTTGCATATGAGTTAAATCTAGCCAGAATCCAGTGGAAGGTCTGCTTGGCTAGGTCAGAACGAACTTTGATCAAGCCTGTATCTCCCCAACTGTTCAGATTTGTTTGATATTTATTTATTTGTACGAGTTATTTCTGCAACAGGAGACCTTTCAACAAAATTTCTATATCTCTGTCAGAGATTATTCTCCCCATTTCCACCACCTGTATATTTATCAATATGTGTCTATGTGTTTGTCTGTCTCTGTGTGTGTGTGTGTGTGTGTGTGTGTGTGTGTGTGTCTGTATGCCTTTGTGTGTGTATCTGTATGTGTCTATGTGTGTCTGTGTCTATATATGTGTATGTGTTGGGGTGTGTGTGTGTGTGTGTGTGTATATACTGAAACTGAAAAACACCTCACCACTCAGGCCCAGCAGTGATGAGGTTTTGAAGTAGGCATCTTTCATCCATAACAGTCCACAAACAGACTGAGGCAGAAACTTACCAAATGTTTGGCTTAGTCCCTCTGAGGTGATGAAAACATCATTTTTTACGAACTTTAAGAGCAGTGGAAAGGCTTTCCACAGAGTGATAACATAACCCTGAACATGTCAGCATATGCAATTTTTCAAGTCCTGACGTCTCTTCTCTGCAATTCTAGACAGGAATATAATGTGGCAGCAGGACGACTCCTGCAGTGAACACAAAGGGCACTGAACTCCTAACGCTTTTCCCCAGTGGCAAGCAGCAATGGAGAAATCAGGGTTCCATCCTCTCTGCCCATAGCCTTCTAGCTCAAGAAAATATTTAGATCAAAGACCCACTTGTCACATTTTGAGATATTGCAAGTTATCCTCACTTGCCTAACTAAGTAAGCATGCCTAACTCTGGAGACTGGGAAGGGGATGATGGGGAAGGTAATGATGAGCCACTAAAATGGATGCAAGATTGAATTTTTTTTTTTTTTGAGACTTTTTTTTTGGTCACCCGGACTGGAGTGCAGTGGTGCGATCTCAGCTCACTGCAACCTCCGCCTCCTGGGTTCAAGCGATTCTCCTGCCTCAGCCTCCCAAGTAGCTGGGATTACAGGCACCCACCACTATGTCCAGCTAATTTTTTGTATTTTTAGTAGAGACAGGGTTTCACCATGTTTGCCAAGCTGGTCTCGAACTCCTGACCTCAGGTGATCCATCCACCTCAGCCTCCCAAAGTGCTGGGATTACAGGCATGAGCCACCATGCCCAGCCTGAATTTTATGTTTGAGATTTGTCATAAGACCTGCCAAGACAAGGGAAAGCTTGTTATGTATTCCCTTTCTCTCACAAAACAGCTCTTCAGTGAGTCCCACATGGTCACTTATTTGATCAACAAACATTCATTATGTGTCAGACACTGAGGATGAATAGGACAGAATTTGCAATGTCAGAAACAGGGATATTGGTCAGGGTGGCTTTTGAGCGGTCCCTGGAGTCAAGACTCCTCACAGTTCTTTACTTTTAATATTTCCCCACGTCAGCCACACTAGACTAACACAAAAGTTGGGACATCAGCCTACAGGGAGGAACTGTACCATCTGTTCAACTGCAAGTTCAGTACAAGACATAGAACAGTAGACTATATCATCACTGGTAGACTGTTTCATCACTATGTGCAAAGTTCCTTGGGATGGAGGTGCTGCCGCCTCATTCCCACCACTCTTCCTCATGGCCCCTCACCACTCCCACCTCGCCGCCACCTGCCATCCTCATCTACCCCCGAGCTGGCTCCTGCTGGCATCTTTATATATTCATTCTGTTTCCAAAACCTCCCTCCAAGAAGCTACACGTCCAATTGCATTTCCCTTTTCTGCAAAAAGTTAAGTACACAGCAATTGCTACATGCTTTAGAGGTTTGCTTTACCGGGAAAGTGCTGCAAACTGGCCCCCAATAAGGAAATCAGAGTGAGTCACTTGGAGCTCTTGGCCTTTACACTTCAGGCTATTAAATCCAAAATCCTAAGGAGTCCAACCCAGGTCCAAGAAGAGGAGCCTGAGGAGGTCCTTCCTAAATGTTAAGGCACCTAGAAACATTAGCCAAACAGGTCAAACAGAACCCCATGCTTTTTGTTGGTAGAATTTGATAAAATTACCACACACTGACAGGATGAAGAGTAAAGCCTATCACATCTTATTTGACTGTAGCAGAAAATTTAACAATTCTTAGAGAAATTATTTCAGCTCCTCTGCTTTGGCAAGCATATGAGAAGAGTAAAAAGAAAAGATAAACACTGACAGCCCTTATAATCTTTTTTTTTTGTTTTGAGACAGAGTCTTGCTCTGTCACCCAGGCTGGAGTACAGTGGCATGATCTCGGCTCACTGCAACCTATGCCTCCCAGGTTCAACCAATTCTCCTGCCTCAGGCTCCCGAGTAGCTGGGACTACAGGTGCACACCACCAGGCCCGGGTAAGTTTTTTTGTATTTTAGTAGAGACAGGGTTTCACTGTGTTGCCCTGGCTGGTCTCGAACTGTTGAGCTCAGGCAATCCGCCTGCCTCAGCCTCCCAAACTGCTAGGATTACAGGTGTGAGCCACTGCGCCTAGCCCGTAAACTTGAATATAATACCATAACTCAGGACACCAGTGAAATGACCCAGAAACTTGTGAGGGGATTGAGAATTTGGAAATTGAGCAAGAAACCGACTAGAGTTGCCATCAGCAATCAAGAAGTGACTATGGGAGAGGAAAGAAGGTGAAACGTCTGTTCTCTTGCTCACCTACCATGTTTTAAATACAGCCTTTGGTGACAGAAGCAAGAGTAAAGTAATGGAGATGATACTGGGCTCCCAGAGAAACAGACTTGAGTTTTCAGCCTTCACTAATGGCTGTGATTCTGTGAAGACACTGTCTCCTCTCTAGTCTTCAATCCCCCACAGAAGCACCCCCTCCTCCATGAAGCCCTCTTCGGTTTCTCCTGCCCACACCCATATCCCCTCTTCTGAATTTCTAGAATACCTACTTTTATGCCTCACAATGTGAAGCTTTTTCAGGTTTTTTTCAGGTGTATTTGCCTCTTATTTCATGACTGAATTTTGATGCCCCTAAAATAAGAACTATAATGCCTTTTTCTTTTGACTCTCCTGCACAGCCAAGTTCAGAGCTGAATATTTCATAAATATCTAGTGTGTAACGTGGTGGATAATTTGACATGAGTTTTCCCAAGAGCCACTGCCCATGGAGGGGAGTCAATAGTGTATTTGCATTCACTTATTTGGGGCCTTGGTTTACATACGTCTGCTTAGACTCAAGGACACTTGTTTCCAGTTTCAAGATGAATCCTTGAATAATATATCAAACTAGGCATTCCTTGATGTTTCTCTGTCTCTTTTGTCCTCACGCATGACCAAAGCCCATATTCCAAGGTAACATGCACAGCAAATGAAGAACATCCAATAGTGATAGAGCCCGTCCTCATCGAGCTAATAGCTTCAAACTTCCGGACCAAAATGGTTTGTCCATTTTTCATCAAAACTGGAGCTCACTGTGCTACTTTTAAGTATAAACATGGCCCATTAGGGGGCAAAGTTGGCCAGTCTGATCCAAGTAAAACCCTGTGTTTTGGACACACAGCAGGGTTGCTGAGCAACCTGCAGACGACAGTGCTCTTCCCATGCACAGATGCCTCAACGGGAAAGAGTTGATCCTCTGGTAAAAAGCAAAAAAAAGTTATGTATGCAATAAGTTAAAGGCAGGAAGATATGAGATATATAGGGTAATCCACTGTACCAGTTTGCCTGAGATGGGGACTTTCCATGCTAAAATCAGGAAAGTCCTCAGCAAATTGGGACTAGACATTGCCTAGACACTGACTGGCAGATTCTAAAAGTCAGTGTTCACCCTTTTCCACAGGCCTCCCTCTCTCTACTCACCTCAACTGCATCACTGGATGCAAAGTCAGTAGCTGCTGGCACCCAGGGAAT